>NC_000011.10:31120606-31272121 GCF_000001405.40 Homo sapiens
TGGATCTGCCTCTACTGGCAGCAAATAGAAAACAACTCTCAGAGCATCACTGACCAATTGTGTGTGAAATTCACTAATTCCAGTGAAAGGATATGCCTGTACTCATCTTCCTCTCATTCCCTCATGCTTTCTCCCACCTACTCAGACATCACACATTCTCCTTGCTCATCAATTCTCTGTCACAATCACCCACCTTCCTACTAGCTTTTCCACTCACCATCCCCCTACAGATTTGCTAATACCCTTTCCCAGCAATCCTTTCTTTCCTGCCCTCCCAGGGAAATGCTAACATTGCTGACATTTCCATGGGGATGAAGAGGAGGAGGAGTTGCATGGAAAGAACAGGACTAGGAAGGCAGAAGTCACTGAGCCATGGCTCTAGCAGATGTTCTCAAAGAGACTGGGGGTAGTGGCAGTGACAGGGAATAAGGGGTAAGAGAAAGTTTAGAATAGTAAGAAATTGCTCCAAAACACTTGTTGCCTGAAGGGCTTTGTAGATGATGGTGCACATTGAGTGTAACCACTGATGGTAAAAACAGTAAGAAATTTTCAACTTACAAGGTGCTATGACTTGATGGCAGGAGAATGTACTGGAGTACAAATACAAATAAATTGTGGTTGTGACTATATAGAATATACGAGTGCACATGAAAATGACGTGAAAGGTGACAATGATCATTAGGAACAATGCAATTACAGGTGATACAACTCTTTCCTAAAATTCCTCAAATGGTGTTATGTTTCCATTTTTTTTTAAACAAGGAACTTTCCTATGGCAGAAATGAGCAACCACACAGAGGCTGCTCCCGGTTTTTTATCTTGTATGCCCATTTAAACTTGTCACTGTATTATGTCACATGATTGCAAAAATGGGAGTGAGGCAATATGGAACACAGAAATAGTGTCCTTTTAAGAGGTGATTTTCTAACGTTAAGACCAAACCAAAAGCTGCTGTTGTTCACTGATCAATGCAAGACGTGATAAGGATGAAAAGCTCAGTGAAGAGGTTAAGAACACCATATACAATATGAAAAAGCAGCTCAGAGGATTTTGAATTGCACCCTGCCTCCAGCCCCTGGTTGAGACCACTGCTCTACAAGATGATGTTGGCTACAATACATTATTTTGATTCTTGAAGTTGAGCTGTGAGCTTACATATATATGTAACAGAGTGATGAAAATCATGAAATGAAGTTTAGAAAGATAATCATCCCCATTTATTTTTTGTCAAATACTTTCTAAGATTAAAATGAACAGAAAACAGGAAAAATGCTTTACTAGGGCTATGTAAGCTATAGTAAGTTCAGTTATAAATGGAAAATATATTTGTTTATTGATAAGTCATTTAACACTCTATGATAGTACGTGCCACAAGGTGGGATAAAGTTGTTCATAATCAGAAAAGATGTGGCCCTTGCCCACAGTGAGTCAGAGGTAACTGAGTTAGAGATGGTGTCCAAAGGAAGGTAGGCCATTCCATATACACCCATGGGAATTTAGAGGGTTAGCTAGGTAACTGATATGAGTTGATTCTGGAATTAATGCAAGATGGTACACTGCGGCCTTTGCTCCATGTGTCTTCAGTTGGAATTAGCAAGTTCTCCCCACCTGACAGGATATACAGAATTCCCACCACCACCATCACGAATTCTAAGATATAAGTATAGAGAAAAGTTTTAGCTACTTAGCAATTGGAATGAGAATTTCTTTGTGGGGTGCTATTGGTTATGCTTAAAAAGCTGCTTTGGTAATCTTGCTATGATTGTCAGTCCTGCCTATACAATAAAATCATTTGGGAGCTTTTGAAAAAATGCTGATGCTTGCACCACACCTGAAGATGTGCTGGTAAATGTTTAGCAACCTGCTTAAGGAAGGGGGTGATTATTATAAATTCTGCTGATACAAGGATCACATAACATATAATTTGCAAATAATAATAAAATATCTAATACTTTTTATTGTAAATTCTACATAGCCAACTCACTCTCAAGAGTGGTTTCACTGATTTTTGCCAAGTCTTGTATCCACATCCATCCTATGGTTGCAACTGAGAAATGAGTGTGGTTCTGACCCGAATGTTGATTAATATTTTCATCCATGTTGATAAGACAAAAATGAAAGAAAGAAGACATATGTAGGACCGCTCTTGTTAATCAATGACATGGGCAAGTTCTTTGCTGAATCAGATAATGATTTCCATATACTGAAAGAATATTTCAATTTTTGTGCTATTCACAATGCAACACACAGAAATTTTGCACTTTTGAATTTAATCTGCATTGTGAATATTTTCTGTCACATACTTAAATCTAGACCACAGATCAACAAACTTTTCTTTAAAAGGCCCAATAGTAAATACTTTAGGCTTTTCAAGTCATATGGTCTCCACTCTGCCTGGTAATATAAAAGCAGCCATAGACAATACACAAACATAAAGGTGTCACTATATTCCAGTAAAACTGTATTTACAAAAAAAAACAGGCAGATTTGGCCCACAGTGTGTGGTATTTCAACTCCCTAGTCTAGACAATCAATAAAACATGAAATCAAGCCCTCATTTATAGTATTTGCCAATTTCTATTTTATAAATACTCTGACCACAACCAATTTTCAGATACAACAAGCCATCCCTGAAAATAAACTTAGGAAGAAATGCACGGTAGCACACACTATTATATAGTGTTTACACTAAACAAACACAATAGGTCTAAATAACTTCAAGAGAATAGGTAATAGTAAAATGTAATTTAAAAATTAGGAAGTGAAGTGTATGACCTATTTCATTGTAAATTCATATGATTTTTAAATAATGGCTATATAAAACAACTGGCTTACAAAATTCCTGAAAACTTAATCAGTGCCTCCAAGCTGGTAGAAGTTAGTCTTAGCACAGGAAACCAATTAAGTCAAAATATCTGTGGATGGAAACATTGGTATCTTAAAAAAAAAAAACCTCCAGAATATTCTAACATGCAGCCATGTCATTTTTCTAAGCCTGAGAATGGGGCTGATATCCAGGTTTCTTGAGATGTGGAAGAGGAACTTATTTTCTGAGAGAAGCTAGATGTTGCAAAGGAGAAACCTGAGAAGAGAGGAAGCAGAAGCAAATGGAGCTGAGTACTTTATAGGGGAAAAAAATCATAAAAAGAGAATGCCTGGGATGTGGGAGAAAGAATTCTGGAGAAAAGACCAGGGTGACCAACCATCTTGGTTTGCTGGATGCAGGCTTTTTAGTGCTAAAATAAGGAAAGTCCTGGGAAACCACTAGAAAAATATTCTTTTATTTTAATTAATTAAAATTAAAATTTAAGTAGCCATATGTGACTAGTGGCTACTTTACTAGACAGCATAGTGAATCTAAACAAATACAACAACATGGCTTCTTTGCATATGTAAATTTCCTCTTTTGTTTGCTGGTATGGAAAGTATTTTAAAGCACATTAAAAGGGAGTGAATAAGAGTGGTGAGAGAAGGCATCCTTGTCTTGTACCAGTTTTCAAGGCGAATGCTTCCAGCTTTTGCCCATTGAGTATGATACTGGCTGTGGGTTTGTCATAAATAGGTCTTATTATTTTGAGGTACATTCCTTCAATAGCCAGTTTATTGAGAGTTTTTAACATAAAGGGATGTTGAATTTTATCGAAGGGATTTTCTGCATCTCTTGAGATAATCATGTGGTTTTTGTCTTTAGTTCTGTTTATATGGTGAATTATGTTTATTGATTTGCGTATGTTGAACCAGCCATACTCCCCAAAGCAATTTATAGATTCAATTCTATTCCCATTAAATTACCATTGACATTCTTCAAAGAATTAGAAAACACTATTTTAAAGTTCATATGGAACCAAAAAAGAGCTTGTACACTCAGGACAATCCTAATCAAAAAAGAAGAAAGCTGGAGGCATCATGCTACCTGACTTCAAACTATACTACAAGGCTACAGTAAACAAAACAGCATGGTACTGGTACAAGAACAGACATGTAGACCAATGGAACAGAATACAGAACCCAGAAATAAGGCCACACACCTACAACTATCTGATCTTTGACAAACTTGACAAAAACAAGCAATGGGGAAAAGATTCCCTATTCAATAAATGGTGCTGCAACAACTGGCTAACCATAGGAGGAAATTGAAACTGGATCCCTTCCTTACACCTTATACAAAAAACTCAGATGGATTAAATACTTAACTATAAAACCCCAAACTATAAAAACCTTAGAAGAAAATCTAGGCAATAAAGAGCAGGATACAGGCATGGGCAAAGATTTTATGATGAAATCACCAAAAGCAATCACAACAAAAGCAAAAATTGACAAATGGGATCTAATTAAACTAAAGAGCTTCTGCACAGCAAAAGAAACTATCATCAGCACAAACAGACAACCTACAGAATAGGAGAAAATTTTTGCAATCTATCCATCTGACAAAGGTCTAATATCCACAATTTACATGGAACTTAAGCAAATTTGCAAGAAAAAACAACCCCATTAAAAAGTGGGCAAAGGATATGAATAGACACTTCTTTAAAAAAAGACGTACATGTGGCCAATAAACATATGAAAAAAAGCTTAACATCACTGATCGTTAGAGAAATGCAAATCAAAACCACAATGAGATGCCATCTCATGCCCGTCAGAATGGTGATTATTACAAAGTCAAGAAAAAACAGAAGCTGGCAAGGTTGCAAAGAAATAGGAATACTTTTACACTGTTAGTGGGAATGTAAATTAGTTCAACTATTGTGGAAGACAGTGTGGTGATTCCTCAAAGATTTAGAACTGGAAGTACCATTTGATCCAGCATCTCATTACTGGGTATATACCTAAAGGAATATAAATCATTCTCTTATAAAGATACATGCATGTGTATGTTCATTGCAACACCATTTACAATAGCGAAGACATGGAATCAACCCAAATGTGCACCAATGATAGACTGGATAAGGAAAATGTGGTACTTACACATCATGGAATACTATGCAGCCATGAAAAGGAATGAGATCATGTCCTTTGCAGGCATATGGATGAAGCTGGAAGCCATTATCCTCAGCAAACTAACTGAGGAACAGAAAACCAAACACTGTATATTCTCACTTATAAGTCAGAGATGAATAATGAGAACACGTGGACATAGGGAGGGGATCAACACACACTGGGGCCCATCAGGGGCGGTTGGGTGGGGGGTAGAGCATTAGGGAAAAGAGCTAATGCATGCTGGACTTAATACCTAAGTGATGGGTTGATAAGTGCAGGAAATCACTATGGCACACGTTTACAAACCTGCACATCCTTCACATGTGCCCTAGAACTTAAAAAAAAATTAAAATTAAAATAAAATGCAAAAAAGGGAGTATATATGAGAGAGACAATTCTGACCCTAAAGTTAAGTATCTGTTACCCAGCCCATGTGCCAATATGTATAAGTGATAGAAATTCTTCAGAAATAAGCAGTGAACTTGAGGGAAAACAAAACACTTTTTTTCCCCAAGTCACACCGTAGTTCATACGAATAGCTGCTGATACAAATGAGTAGGATGAATGCCATTAAAGCAACTACACTTCCCCATCCCTTTTTATTTTTTCTTAGCAGCTGCATCCTTCTAGAAAACAACCACTCTCCCTCACCTGGTTTCTCTCTTAATCAATAGCAAGTACTTTGCAAAATTGCAGAATGGATTTGTAATCAAGTCAAAAACCTGGAAAAGAACAATGCTACTGCACTATAGAAACCCTTGACCTTGATGTCTTGAACATCACTTCCTAAACCCTTAGCTGACTAGCAGACTATGAGAAATAAATTATCATGTTTAACATGAAATTACATTTCCCAAAAAGTCCATTTTTACATTGTAATGTTCTCACTCAAAATACACACGGGAATGTCATTAAAAGAAATGTTATTGGTCAAAAATATAATGTTTCTAATGTTACTTGCAGAATAAAACAATATTAAGAAAGAGGAATTGCAGAGATGAAGGTTGATCAAAATATAATTTACTTCGAATGTTATCACATACCCATAAAAATAATCAAAAGGAAATGACGAGTTGTAGTAACCATGATTTCTTAAATGGAAATAGGCTACACTGTGAGTAATTCAAATTTTACTAACTACAATCTCTTGAAATGCAGGATATGAAATTATAGGACAATATTAACTTGACAAACTTAACATGGAATATCTGCTATGAAAATCAAAAGTATTTAAATTCCCTAAGCTTTTAGTACCAAAACCACTTTAGCCAAGTATGAGTTGTTCTTTATCTCTCTCAAAGATGCAATAGCAAAGTAGTAGAGGACATTTAGCGATCTTGTCCTGACAAATAACCAATTCACCTTTTTTCCCAGTATATTCTTAAGTATTGATTTTACCAAGTGAACTCCAACATGTGTCACACTTATCCAATACAGATGCTTTTCCTTGGAAATGTAGTTTGAACATCAATCAGTCACCTGGCCTTTCACCTTCAATTTCTATTGCCACTGTCTGTCAACTATTAAAGCTTGCCCATTTCTCCAAATGTTATTTTTAGAAACTGAAATATGCCATGACCATTGTGAAAAATTTGTTTCTTGGAAAAGTGTGCAAATGTTCACATGAGTAAATTCCTTCATTACAATTACTTTTCTGAATTGGAAACTAGTTAAAGCTTATAAATACACATTTCAAAGATCTCTAGGTATTTTCTTTTAAAATCTGTTTCCTGAATAATAATATCACCACTTGTAATATTACCAGTTTGAGGAAGACAACATTAAAAGAAATTCAAGCTAAGTGGCATTGTTATAAGTGTTTTCAAATGGAGCAGAATGCTTCTGCTCTGGCTGAATCCAATGAGAGGCACAGAACGACACCCACCTTAAGCTGCAGGCCTCCTGGGACAAGCGTGTTTGCTGGAAGGCTTTTAATGTGTTGGTAGACATAAGAGGAGAATTGCTCCTGCTCAGCCTGTAATTGGGGGCCAAGTTTACAGAGATGACCTATGTTACTTTTGATAGCTGTCTGCAATTCATCAATCAGCCTGCTCACCTGAAGGGGTTAAATTACAAGAGTTGTTAGCGAGAAGTAATTGTTGATGTCACACCTATTAGATTTTTGAGTACCTAGCTTGATGGGGGGAAAATGACTTCAATACAGGAATTTGAGTACAGATCTATCCTCAAGTAAAAACAATGAAAGAGATATACATTCCTACATCTACTTTTATTTATGAAAAAATGTCTAACATTTTCACTTCAGTAATATGGGGTAGGTAGCCCTTTACAATTGTTGAATGAAAAATATCTCTGGATATGAAAAGAAACATATACATTTGACAAGTTTGCAAAGGACTTTTAAACTGTTTAACAAAATAAAACCCTCCTAGGACTTTAAATAATCCAATGTATGTAACCTACCACCAAATATTTCATTTCACTACATGTATCTTCCTTTTTAGAATATTTTATTTTATTATGTGTAACATTTAAATTTTCAATATATATATTAAATTCATTATCATTTTGTTGACCTTTAAAGTTAACCTATTATCTTCCTCCCAAATATTCCAATACTTTTTCCCACATTTCATAGATACAATTTTCTAAAATGTATATAACTTCAAAGACAATGCTCTGTTCTGGAAAATATTTTAAATATATATTAATGTCAAAATAAAACGTATAGTTTTTCCAGAAACACCAAAGGCTAAGGAATCTGTAACCTTGATTTTTAAATTTCTAGACTTCTACTTGGTATATTTTAGACAGACATATGAGCCTTACTTGTGGATTATTAATAGCAGTAGTTAACATTTTCACCCATATAGTTTACAAATTAAGAATCATTACCATTCTTTGACTCTTCACTGTTTTATGTAAACTTATATTCTCTCTAGTAGGCTGGATTCTTACATAAACACTGGTTGATATTATGGTAGTGACCATAAGAGATGAAAAACAGAAATCTACCTCATCTGTGATTCTTCAAATTAAACAAATTAGACCCATTTAGAATTATGAGTAAGTTTGAATAGAGCATTGACATCGAAAACGTGGGTTAAAATCCTGGATTCATCACTTACTGACTGGGAGACTTTGCACAGGTAATAAAATCTTTGTCTATAAATGAAGAATAACACTGGCTTTACATATTGATAATTAAATTAGATGAAAAAATGGAGAGCCCACTGTCTAACCTACAGTAAGTGGCCAATGTACTGGTATATTTTTATAGTGTTTCCTTTTTGAAATCTAGGTGTTTTCTGCATAACAAGTTTTAATTTTTTATTTCTTGGTCTATCTTTTCTATCTCTATCACTATTTCACATGAGGAAGTCAGAAATTCCAAACTATTTGCTGTGTAGATCCTACAGCTCATTTCAATATTCACAGATAAAATGGAAAATCCTTCTACAAGAGTCTTCCCTGTACTTACATCTCATCCACTTCTTTGTCAGCTAAAAATATGGTATTTGCCCCGCCTATATTCTAATTCTGATGTTAAATCCATTATTTCTATCCCTTCTGCAGAGCATTCAGAGAAGTTAGTGACAGCCAGTGTGCACTATTACTCATATGACCTAAATGTATTATCTACTCTACTTATTTAGTTCAAGTTTATATGTATATGTATACATATAAATTTCAATTACATTTGACTTTTACCAAGACCTTTACAAGTGTTACATGCATAGAAACAAGTTAACTTAAAATGATTCCTATTTTACTTTCTTTTCCCATATCCCTCTTATTTGTTCCTATGTAATAAATTGTCTACTCCATTTAAATAATCCTTTCTTCTAAACAAAGTGTTGGCAAACTTGTTTTAAAAAGGGTCACATAGTAAATATTTTTGGCTTTGTAGGCCATAAGGTATCTGTCAAAATTATCTAACCCTACAATTGTATTTGGAAAGCAGACACAGACGATATGTAAATGAATGGGCATGGCTGTGTTGAAATAAAACTTTATTTACAAAAAAAAATAATAATAAGCTGCAGGCTAGATTTGTCCCCAGGGCTATATTTTGCAGATCCCTCTTCTAAATATGTATATGTCATATCCATTCTTTCATTTCTTATAAGTAATAGCCCTCAATCCCCTCATCCCCCTCCCCAGTTTGGATTAACAAAATACCTACTAAGCGGTCTCCCTGTTCCCATCTCTTCCCCTCCATGCCATTAGGTCACCTCCACCAAATTCATCCACCTTGAAAAGTATATTAAACCACCTAGCTGCTCCTTCAGATTCTTGAGCTTGGTATTCAAGATTCTAAGACCCTTTATAATCTGATCTCTACCTGGCTTTATGGCTCATATTCCCATCAGACCCCTCTCCTCTAACCAAATGTCTCTTCTCACTGTCCCCTTGCACACACATACACGCATCCCTTCCATTTCTAAAGTATCATAAGTTAGATAATGTTTAACCCAACACTCTGATCCCACAAATGAGGAAATTGCATCCCAGAAAAGTTAATTTGCCAAGGATACTCAGATAATTAATACTGGCACTGAAATTAAAGTGTATGTCGCTTGATGCCTAGGCCATAGTTTTATGACTCATTCCTCTCTTATATCCAAGTCCACTCATCAGAAACCCCACTTCCTCTAGCAGACCTTCCAGCACTTAGTACCTGGATATTACCATCTGGCACTTAATCAAAGTCAGCTGTCTATTGTTCATTCTTTACTAATAATTCTATTAGTATTATATGTGACATATATGTGACATCAGAATTCCTATGTGATTTGCTTTGGCCAGTGAAATACGAACAGAAGTAACATATGCCACTTCTTAGCAGAAGCTTTAAGAACCATTGTGCAGTTCTGCCATTGCTCTCTTCCGCCTGCCCACCCCACCCCATGAAAACAGTAATGTCCCAATAGAAACTGCTCCTTCAAGCCGTATCTCAGACTGAGAAAGACATACTGGTGAGAGCCACAAACAACCAGTAGCCAACATGTAAAGTGAGCAAAAAATGAATACTTGTTTTAAGTCACTCAGCTATTGGGCTCCTTGACTTATACAGCACAATCTACCAAAAGCTGATAAACACATTGCATTCTACTAAATCCCTACAATCCTATATAACTTATATAGTAGGTTACTAAGAGTCAGCCTTTAACTGTAAATTCAAATGAGAGTCTAGAAATTTCTATCATCTATTCATAAGGAAGACCCTCATGCCAGTGAAATTTGGACAAAACTTTGGATATCATGGGAATGGAAGGCAGAGACAATACAGGGAGGTCAGGAGGAATCCTAAGGGAAACAGAAAAAAGAAAATGAGATAAAGAAAACAAAATTAGGCCGGGCGCGGTGGCTCACGCCTGTAATCCCAGCACTTTGGGAGGCCGAGGCGGGTGGATCATGAGGTCAGGAGATCGAGACCATCCTGGCTAACAAGGTGAAACCCCGTCTCTACTAAAAATACAAAAAATTAGCCGGGCGCGGTGGCGGGCGCCTGTAGTCCCAGCTACTCGGGAGGCTGAGGCAGGAGAATGGCGTGAACCTGGGAAGCGGAGCTTGCAGTGAGCCGAGATTGCGCCACTGCAGTCCGCAGTCCGGCCTGGGCGACAGAGCGAGACTCCGTCTCAAAAAAAAAAAAAAAGAAAACAAAATTAATGAAAAGAAAAAGAAAAGAAAAGGAAGGAAGAAATTAAAGGGAGAAGGTGATTGGGGGAAATGAGAAGGGAAGAAAGAGAAAGAAGATGTGAAAAAGAAAAGAATGGTGTTTATAGGCTATAAAATCCAGTGACAAGTTTCTCTCGTTATCCTCCTTTTCTTACTTTTTGGAATGAATTTCCATGCTTTCCATAGTACTGTTAATTCTACAAGAAAGTTGTAATATTTAAAATATGGAAATAATAAATGATCCAGTATTAGTCTATGCTTTCAGCCTCATTTTCACCACCAGATCATACTACCCTCCAGCAGTATTATCCTTAAAAAACAATGGATAATAGTGTATAACATCCTTGAAGCTAAAGACCAATACAGGACAGGTGGCTTGCATTTATGGTTATCTGATGAAATTAAAATCCAAGAATGAAAGGCCCTAAATAGAAGGACTCCATTTCCGAAAAATACTGGTCCTCTCTGAACCCATCTCCAGCATCATGTGATTTAGGAAGATACAATGTTATGCAGTCTTTAAAGTCTACTAAGTATCATGCATTGTATTTCACTAGTCAATTATAATGTTCTCTATAATTTCATGTACTGCACCTTGTGCTATAGCAAGTCACACACAAAAAAAGGGAGGAAACTCAGACTTTGATTTGAGGGCATTTTTATACATGACTGGTTTTACTGTCACAATCCATAGCCTTTCACTGATAGGGGATTTCATGTGACATCAAAAATCAACCAACCATACAATTGATGATGTCATTTGCACTCTAAAGGGCTATTGGCTAAAGTCTTAAAAGTTTCATCCGGCATAGATTTTTGGTTGCTTCAGAAACCTTCTCTACTATTTTTATTGGCTCCAGGATAATCTGTTAACATATGTGAAACAAAATTACACCAATTATCACCTGATTTTTAAAAATAACTTAAAACTCTCAAGGTATCTAGCAAAGATTAACATATCTTAAACACAGGAGAAAATATATCAAGAATCCTGTCACTGACATTTTGATAATGTTTCCATTCAGTTTTACTCAAACTTGATGTTACTTTACATATTCATAAGGTCTTTTATCCCCAAAGTGTTATGTTTTGTTCTCAGTTATTATGATAACATGTCATCCTAAAAGACAACTCTACACATGAAATAACTCATATACTAAAATCAGGTAGGTAATATAATACTCATGAATTATTTTACATAATATGATTTTTTTTCCCAATCACAGATATTGCTAAAAGGGGGAAAGTGTTCTTTAAAATTCTTCAACGTGAATCTTTTTTTTTCTTCAAATCCTTTTTTTTTCCTCTACAAAGGCAATGTGAATAGGGGTAAAAGAAGACAAAACTTGACCTTTTGTGATCCCAGCATTAATGGGTCTGTTCATAATTCAATCTATGTGTGTGTGGGGGCATCCATGTGGAAACATAGAGGCCTGAGAGACATAAAGCCTTTCCCTTTAAACATTATCTGACCCTATCAGTCCCATTCACAAAAGAAGGCTTACGTATGCATATGTTGAAAAAATGCACCATCTCATTGTGCAGCAGAAAGCCTACACATTCTACTCTTCATTCTCCGTGGAAATGCAGCACGGAAGTGACACTTGTACAGAATTTGGGAGAGTGACAAATAAGCAGAAGGTAGCAAAAAAATATTGAATATTCTGGTGAGAAAACAAACCCAAACTTCTGAAAGAATACAAATGTGCACATGTCTATAAACATACAGACAGGTTTTTGCATAACATGTAGGGCAGTTTGATCATGTTTGTATGGTGTATGCAAGCAACCTTTGAATTCAATTAAATTCTCAAGATGATTTATAGTCAGAGCAAAGTGTTATTCTGTTTATAATCAGTCTTCAAAAGCAGACATGTTGAAGCTATGCATTTCTGAGCCATACATTGTGAATACTGTACATTGGCTATTATTAATGACTCTTTGTGGAGCTCCTGGTTTTTCTAGTGATGAGTTCAGCTGTCAGCCTGAATTCTGTGTGGGCTTGAATCCACCCATGTTATTAAGGAGAAATCCAGAGCACTTTGCACAGAACTGTCACTTGAAATCAGCACAAACGGTGGCAGCCTCTATACTAGGAACGTCATCTAGGCATGTAACACACGGAATGGTCTCAAAGCCAGGTCAGCACTTCAATTTAAGATCAGGAAACTTTCTAATTAACAGCATATTTAAGATGAAACATAAAGGAGGCAGGGAAATAAAATTAGTATTTTAAACTGCCTAAAATCTCTTCTTGGTTTCAGGGCCAATAATACAATGTTTTAAGCGGTAAGAAGGAAACAGAACCCTAATTTGTTGAATGAAGATTGGAAAAAACATGGGAGCCTGAGAGCAAAGTGAACTATCCCTTGATTTGGAAGTTGAGCTGGGTGTAACTAACCAGGAAATCTGAAGTGCGTAGCACCTCTTATTGCCAGCACTTCAAATACTACCAAATTTTTGTGGGTTTTTTTTTGTTTTTGTTTTTGTTTTTTGACCCAGAGTCTCACTCTGTCGCCCAGGCTGGAGTGCAGTGGCACGAACTCGGCTCACTGCAACTTCCACCTCCCGGGTTCAAGTGATTCTCCTGCCTCAGCCTCCTGAGTAGCTGGGATTACAGGCATGCACCAGCATGCTCAGCTAATTTTTGTATTTTTAGTAAAGATTGGTTTCACTATGTTGGCCAGGCTGGTCTCGAACCCCTGGTCTCAAGTGATCTGCCCGCTTCAGCCTCCCAAAGTGCTGGGACTACAGGCGTGAGCCACCACGCCTGGCCCAAATACTACCAAATTTTTAATAGCTTCCTAGAACCCTTCTGAGATGAGAAACATATTGGAGGTAGATCTAACCTATTTTCAGCCAGAGGTACCTTATGTGCTGCTTTTAGGCCTATTCAACTATCTAACATCATACCCATCCACTCATGGGAGAAGGAACAATTGAAAACAGACAACTTCACTGTCTTCATAACTCTTCTGGCAATGGGGTTATGTTGATAGCAACAAGGATGATGTCAATTATACCTATGGGGACAGCTATGACATTGTGTCTCATAGACCTCTAACTCCAAGAGCATAAGTGACCATGGGTACCATCTACTGTGCTCTGAAATCCATCCCCAGGTTAGCACCAATGTCTGAGGATACTAAGGCAGGTCTATCCCTGAGAGTCACAGGACTCCTCTGATGGCCAAGTTTGGCTCAAAAATCCACCAACAGTTTTGCCAAATCTTTAGACTTCACAGTGGTCCAGGATGTTTTCACCCAACCTTCCTTTCCTCCCTCATTTGGGTCAGGCCTGCATTTCAGTCTGACAGATTTCTCAGCCTTATCCAGTGCTCTCTCCATTTTCTCTCATAGGCATTTCTTCTAATAACATTCTACACATTTAATGTCATCTTGGTACCTACATTATACAGAACCTGGAATAATGCACTTTTATACTGATAATAATAAGTCATATGCAAATTTCCAAAAGGCTTAATGTGGCTGGGCATAGTAGCTCACCTCTGTAATCCCAGCATTTTGGGAAGCCAAGGTGAGGGGATCACTTGAGGCCAGGAGTTCAAGACCAGCCTGGGCAACATAGCAAGACCCTATCTCTACAAAAAAATTTTTAAATGAGCTGGACATGGTGGTATATGCCTAAAGTCCCAGCTACTCAGGAGGCTGAAGCAAGAGGATCACTTGTGCCCAGGAGTTCAAGGCTGCAGTGAGCTATGATCACACTGCTTCATTCTAGTCTAGGTAACAGAGAGAGAGCCTATCTCTAAAATAAAAAAATTTTTAAAAAAATTTTAAAAAAGCTTAACATATATCATCACCTCAAAGTGGTTTTACGATGCATACGTTACTGTTACTCCCAAATTTCATGTGGAAAATTATGTGAAATGAAACAAGATTTTAAGATAAAACTGTAGGCAGTGGAAGATCTAAATCTCAGATTTTATGATGTTTAATTTGGGTTTTGAGAATTATCTAAGAATGTATTTGTATACAAATCATAGGAAAAATATTGAAGTAAATTCACCACCAAATTTTTCCTTTCTCTTTTCCATTAGGATTTCCTTTCTCTGTATGTTGATTAGACTTGATGCTTTAGCCCTAAAAGTTTTAGACTTTTTCTAATCAAAAGTTTTTTAAGCTATTCAACAGTCTAACTTCCTCATCCACTCAAGGAGTAAGAAACAACTGAAAATAGTGTTATCTTAAATGCCTTCATAACTCACCTGGCAAGAGAGTTATGTTAGTGGTAACAAGGACTTTTCTAAAAAGAGTCTTTTAGATTTTTTCTAACAAAAAGTTAGAACTTACACATCCAGATTAATATAATCACTTTCCAAGTAATCACACAGAAATTATCTTCAGAGGCTATGGAATATATTTAGAAAGTATCAGATGTACACACACATATGAACATACACATACATGAATATGTATTCTCCTCGCTGTGTATTTGTTTTTGAAGTAAGCAAAAGACTTTTTGAGCCAGAGCTGAAAAAGCAAATATATGACAAACTAAGGCATTGTGTAAGAAGAACACTGAAATATATAGTGCTAAAAAAATAAAGATGATGATAACAAAGAAGAAACACCAAATAAGCATAATTGCCATTAGATTTTCCAGAAAAGATAATTTTCATTTCCAATGTTGCTAACAAGGTAAGATTTAAAACTACGTATTTGCTATACTGATCATTTTCCAAGGCCACTTCAAGTTTTTAGTCATTGAAATTTTAATTTTGCATAAAATATCAAAAGGCAAAATAATTACAATGTTTAAAAGGAAAATAATCTGTCATTCTTTTACAATATTTTCTATTTAATCTCTAATGATAATTGGTATTGCTATAGATATTATTTTAATTATACTAATTAATCTAGAGAGACTTCTTTGCATTTCCCAAAGTTTCCAAGATACATGGTAGATTCACTTTTAGCTTACTGTGAAAATGTAATTAAATTCTCCAATTCTGGTAAAACATTTTTCAAACACACAGAGAATGATATTTTTTCAAATTTATAATTAACAACCTAGTCTTGTAACTTGTTAATATTCAGGAGAATGAGTCAGAACTATAATTTAAATCTGTGTAATTGCTATTTATTACATTTTAGAAATGGTTTAATTTTCCTTATGAAATATTATCTACTGAGATGGCTAATCAATTTTTACAATATAGTCTTTAATACCAGACAAGTGTGTCCCAAATACTAATATGGTCTCTAATGTAAGAATAGAATTTACACAGGAAAATTTGGTGCATGCTACCTGTTCATCTATTACAAAACACATGGTTAGTAAGGAAGATGAAATCATAATAAGAAATACCAAAACCCTGAAGCTTGAATGCATTTATTTACCAAAATATCAAAAAAGAAATATATGAAAAGTTTATTTTTAAAATATTCACATTATCTTATTTCTGAAGTTACTTTGGATTTTTACTGACAGTGGTACATAGAAATTAGAAAATTCACATTCTTTCCTTAGAAAGATTAAATGCTTTTGCATTCCAGGAAACGACATGAAAATCATTTTCCCCTTTTGTCTAACACCAATTTTGTATTATTTCATTTATGGACTATGCTGTCAACTTTACAGCATGAGCTTTGAAGAGAGGAAGGTTTGCTTTAATAATAATATTGTTCCTCATTACAATATTGCCTACAGAATCTTCTGATTAGCTCACTTAGGCTTAACATTTGTAAACTATAGTTTTCCCTTGATAAAAAATAACTTTGTTAGTATTTCTAAAATTCAGAACAATAACTCTATTCTTAGAAAACCAGATGTAACAGCAAGATATAGTATTTATCAAAAATTCAAAAAATTTTTGTTTTTCCTATGTTGGTAGGTTTTATAACTTCCAGTTTCAAATTGCATGTAACAATTTACTAATTTAGAAAACTTATGAGAAAATATTCATGAGACTTTTTTCAGAAAATTATATTTTGATTTATTCTTTCAAGTATACAATTACTTTTCATGCTGTCTATATCAATAAAATGATACCCGGTTGTGATCACTTTGTTTCTATCATAAGTTGTTTTCAGTTAACAAGAGTTGATTTACTATAAGACTCAAAGTAAAATTTATCTTCATTTTAAAATTAGTGTTCATTGCAGGTTTTTTTTTTTTTTTTTACGGAGTCTCGCTGTTGCCCAGGCTGGAGTGCAGTCGCGCAATCTCTGCTCACTGCAACCTCTGCCTCCCGGGTTCAAGCGATTCTCCTGCCTCAGCCTCCTGAGTAGCTGGGATTACAGGCGCCCGCCACCACGCCCAGCTAATTTTTGTATTTTTAGTAGAGATGGGGTTTCACCATGTTGGTCAGGCTGGTCTCAAACTCCTGACCTTGTGATCTTCCCGCCTCGGCCTCCCAAAGTGCGGGGATTACAGGCGTAAGCCACTGTGCCTGGCCCTCATTGCAGTTTTAAAATACAGTTTACAAAGTAATTTCCTTACTTCTTCCTGTTCCTTATGGTGTTCCTTTGCCGTCATTGAAAGAATGACTTTTTCTGTAATTTTCTCCTTCTGTTCATTCATGACCAGGTTCAACTAGAAAAAACAAATAAACAGCATGAAAGCAGGTATCTATTGACACCTAATAGCAACATTTATTCAAACAACTAGTTAAGCATAATCATGAATGTGATTTGATATTAATTTTGATGATACGTACATGAAAATAAACTCTGAATTTCATTTTTATATTTAAAACATTTAACAAACTGAATCTTTTACTTTCAATCTTTTATTGTTTTGAGGATTACTAAAGATGACTTAGGGCAAGAGTGTCCTTAACTGCAGATATTAGACACTGATGAGTACTTTTTTAAAGCACTTCATTAAAATGGACACAGCAACTTTTTAAAAAAAAATTAGGTTAATATTTCTATTAAATCCTTTCATTATGCATAGGGAGTAAATTGTTTGCTGTTATGTCGGGATAAGAAGTCAATGACATAAACTAAATGTGTCAGTTCAACAGTCTAGAATGGTGCTAAATCACTTATAATATTTCATGACAAAGGATCATGTATCTAAATACATAAACAGTTACTTTGAACCTGCTCCATTTACAAAGCTAGATAAAGGTCTTCTACTACTGCTGCCAACCCATGTGTTACAAAAAAATGAATGTGGCCCATTCTATATTTCTTTATAAATAATCCTTATAGAAACAAATGCTATTTTCATGCTAAACATGCAATTGTTATGTTTTATATGAAATTCTTATTTTCAAACAAAAATGATGTTAAACTCCCAAAATAATATTTGCTCAACAGACTGACATTAATAGAGAACAAGAGCCTAACAGAGAACCCTCTGAATTGGAATATTTAATAATTCTTTAGCAACGGACTTGCCATACCATATTTCCTTATTGAGGATTGGAGTAAAAATGAATAACGACCATGTTTTTACATTTTGTTTTGTTAGTGTTGTTATTTGAAGTAAGCTTTCTCAATTGTATGCCTGGAAAATCATGTCTGAGTGAACATAAATCTTTAATCCAAACCCTACCTGAAGACTTACTCCTATATTTGGCATAAAATAGAGGAAGGGAGGTTCAAAAATATGACCTCTTGAATCTAGATGTGCATATATACTAGAATAATAGTATTAAACCTGTAGACACTTCATCTGATGATATGAGACACAGCTAAGTATATCAGAGATTCCGTTTTGTTAGAGAGAAAAGGCCCAGGAATCTTTTGGTGATTCTGATGATCACCCTAGATAAGGAGTTGGGAAATGTTTCTGTAAAGGGCCAGATCGTAAATATTTTAGGCTTTATGGGGGTGGGGGGAGAATACAATCTCTGTTGCAATTACTTGACTCTGCCATTGTAGCATGAAATAGACACTAAATATATATACACACACATTATATATATATACACGTATATACATATCTATTTCATGCTACAATGGCAGAGTCATGTATATATATGTATATGAGCATGACTGTGCTTCAACAAAACTTTAAAAAACAACAATAACAACATGTGGCAGGCTGAATTTGGCCAACAAGCAGTGGTTGGCCAATCCCTGCCCTAGACTGAGAATCAGTGATAAAGAGTTTTTGAAAAATCATTATGTGAAACTATTTTCAAGGGATATATAAAAAAGCCCTTAATACTAAGAAAACTTAAATATCAAGCTCAACTTCCACACATGGAAGCCTAGGTGTGAACCATGGCACAACATATTGGTCTCAAGCATCTGTTTATTTGATCAGGGGAGCTCTCATCTCGAGAGGAAACGGGTGTAGAAGAGAGGGACTGGAGAATATTTACCAAGTTCATCTATTCTTTACAAAATTTATTTCCAAATGCAAAAACTTTCAGAACAGATCTTTCTTAAAGGGAAGCAAAACAAAACAAAAACAGAGCCATGAAACTCTTTGGTGCCACAGCAGGTGAGGCCGATGCTAACGAGTTTTCAGGGCCATGACATTTAGAACTGCTGCCAGGGAACTTTTTATTCAAAAGGTGGGAATTCTTTACCTTTGAAAGCACCACAGTTGGAAAAAAAAAAATCACCTCCACTCTAATATTCAACTACTAAAGAAGCACTAGCTAATCTACATAAAAGGGGGAAAACAGACCAATGCTACTGAAAAGCATCACAGCATAGTCCCAAAAGGGAAGTGCAGTAAGATATTAAGAAATAAATGGTCATCAAAATATAAGGATACACACATGGGTCCTTTTCTAGAAATAGACAAGGCATTCCAAAAGATACATTTTAATGAAATCATTTAGAGGAAATCGCTGAAAGTAAAAAGTCAAATTAAGAAAGGGCATTTTCAGCCTGAGGTATTAATAATATGCAGTGCTAACAGCATCTTTCCCTCAAACCCCATGACATGGTAACAATGGTAAGATTCTTCTCTCCTGTCACCTTTAATGAGAATATCCTGTTTCTTCATTAAAATAAAACTATATGCTTTCGATTTGCTGTTCTTATCTAAAATATATGAAATAACTTTTTGTCAATGGGTTTGATATTTCTGAGGTTGATTTTTCATGTGTTAAGAAGGGTAGAGATTTCAAAAATTAAAAATTGGAAACAGAAAGGTGGATAAAATTTGTATATAACTGAAAAATCAAATCCCCACCATGTAGGGGAGGAGGAAATCAAGTCACTTGGTTCTAAATATATCTTGTCCCTTTTAAATATAAGAAGGCATCTTCAAATAGTCATTGTGCACATGAAAATCTAACAAGCTAAACAGGAAGGTTTCATTCATCATTTTTGTCAGGCCTTGCTGCTAAGATTTTTAAAACTTGTAACAAACATTAGCCATACATACTTAGGTTAAAGTTCGGTTCATTCAATACTAATGGCAACCAGAATAGAACAATCAAGAAACTAGTCAAGAACAGTATCCAAAATGAAAGAAACAAGAAACATAATGGCTCTGTCAAAGAAAACTGAACAAAATTTTTTCAGGAAAATGGTCTGGTTAGACAAACAGAAGATAAAAAGGAATAAATTCACATTAAGCAGTTAGTTTAGAAACTAAGGGAAAAAAATCCACAAAGGTGTACCTGAAGTAACAGATTCCAATGAAACAATTTCCATTGGTTGTTACCTTCCAAACTATATCAGTTTACTTAAAACTATTAATACTAAGGTGTCAGGCACTGTGCCCTCTCCAAAGCCCTAAGGGTTCATAGTTTAGTAATATATAGTTCTTTTTAAAACATGTAGCCCCTTGTGACCATAATTAAAAGTGCTCTTAATTCTGAGGAATTCTTCAAATGTTTGCTGGCTCAGGAAGCTCTCTTATGGACATCCTAGAGGGGAAAATGGACTCAAGACCTCCTGCTGGAGAAATAAGTCAGAACAGCAGTGATCCCATCTTACGTGCATCACTCAGACTGATGGGTTTTATTTTTAACTCTCCCCAAAATATTTTAAAGTGTGCTTAGAAAAATAATACAGATTGTGTAAAAATTTTAACATGTTAAGATCTTTAAAAATCTCTTTTATAGGAGAAAAATACTATAGTAACTCTAGAGTTCAATTATTAATATCTTTAAAAAAGGTACAGTAATTTAACCAGCTAGTGTGTTGTGTCTACCTAATTCATATTGACATTCCAGATAGGTACTAGCCAAAGGTGGAAAAGCCTTTTAGTCCAACCAAACTCTCATTGCTCTGAACTATAGTTCTGCATGTTGTTTTCTCTGTATTAAGAATAGCTAATGATTCAAATGTGAAGTATATGATATGTGTTATATAAAATGTGCTTAATGAATCAACATGACCCAACAAGAAAACTGAATCTATTAATATAAAAAATCCAAGGTTTTCATGAGATCAATAGATCAGTTGATCTATTAATAAATATTTGATCCATATTTTACATGCAGATCAATATAGGTAATACTGTTTTAGCAGAAACAACATGATAATCAGCCTTCATATATATTGACAAGTTTCCCAATGGTCTGCTAATATACAAAAGACTGGGACAAATTACTTATTTATATATACAAAACATGGTTATAAAGGCCAGCTGCAGGTATTTTTTTGGAAAGTGCATTTTAATAAGGTCCTATTCAGTTACAGAACAAATGGAGAAGAAGTAGTTTGCACTACAGAGTTTAGCGCGAGAGCTTTCTCTTTTTCTAACCACGAAATCAATCATTTGTCCAGACTGTGGGAGTCAGAGTTAGTTACTGAAAAGAGCTCCGTATATAAACAAGTCAATAACTCATTGTGTGTTATTGTAGAGCTGAAGAAGTCGGCTTTCAAAGAGCTGCCCCAGCTTCTCTCAGAATGAATGTCACTGTATTCAGGGACTGGGAGAGAGTCCTTTGTTTCTAGCCATTGCTGGCTGCCATTTATGTATGGGAACGGGAGGTGGCTGCTGGGAGAGTGGGGGAAGCCACTATTTGGTATATGGATGTCCAGAAAACTCTGAATTTGGTCAACCTAGTTAATTTGTATCTGGAAATTCATTACTGGAATTAAGAGTGGCCACACAAAAAATATTTGGTAAAAGAATTAAACAATAAATGAGTCTGTACCCTTTCAAATTGGATAGGACTGATATTTTTGGTTGCCTACCTGTCCACAAAAATGAATCCAAAATCCAGGCATTGGTTTGAAAAGTTTGAATGTATAAAATCAAACTGGTGGAAAGGTCAACATATCAAATAAATGCTATCTGTTCCTGCCATAAATAGTAAGGTTGATTCTTGGGACTATCAAATGGAGTTTTCAAAGGATGTGTGTGTGTGTATGTGTGTGTGTGTGTGTGTGTATACACATATGCTTCTTTTATTTATCTCTATTACACATATAAGTTCATAGAGAAGGTGTATTTTAGGATAATAGAATTTCTTTAAAGAATGACTTTATGTGCTCAACATTTGTGATAAATTAAGGATATATTCCAACTATCTTTGACTTAAAATTAATTTAAATGTTTTTTAAATTCCTAAAATTAATAAGATATTATAATCTTATGTATTTGATCTTAATAATTGTTAAATACCTACTATTAATTCAGAATCAGACTAAGGACTATGAAGAAGCACAAGATCGGGTTTCCAGGTTTATAATTAAGCTGGGCAAGTTTAATAAATGGTCTTTTTTTTTGTCTTTTAGCCTCTAAAATTTTTTACAAAAACTGAGCTCTTGATTAAAATTGTAGCTGTGGGCAAGGAGGGTATTGGGAACCTGAGCTGAACCAAATTGATCGCACTTTCCCTCATAATTTAGAAAATCACAGCATTAAATAATATGACATGTTTCCACACGCAACAAACTGTACTAGACATTTTTCCAGATACAAATAGGTTAACAGTAAAGTGCAATATGGTTAAGGAGACAATTAAAAAACAATAGGAAGTGAGAAACAATATATGACACAAGGCACATCATAATGGCCAAATGGACACATAAACAATACAATCTATAAGTAAGAAGGATAGAAATATCATTTAGAGATGGAGTGGCTGGAGATGGAGAAGCATAAATAATAGGTAGTATCTGGCTAGAAAAAGATGAGAAGTGGTAATACGGGGCATTATTAATAAGTAATATGTTTATTATTTTTAATTAATAATTAATTACATGATGAAACTAGTTCTAAGTAAAATGAGTGAAGTGGCTGGACATAGCTTTGGGAGAGGGAGGGGAGAAGACAAGCTGAACCTTGAGCAAGAAGCAGAGAGAAAGGGCATGGCTGATCCAATCAGCTGAAGTAGTAGAAGGAATGATTCATACTGGGAAGCAAAGGGCTAGATGGTTACTGTGAATCCATACTTAATCTATTTTTGAACTTAAATATAAGTGGAGCATATGTGCCAAGAGCCCAGTCTTACAATGCAGGCAGAACTGAAGACTCAGTTCTCAGCTCTGCATTGGCTCAATTACATTCCCTCAAGCTATACATGCTTAACTCAGTAGCAATCTTAGAGATGCCTTAACTAAGTCCTGACCTAGCCCCTACTTTTAGTAATGTAATCTCACTTAAGTCCCTCTATAAAGAAATTCAAGAGTGCCACTTCTCATCTTGGGGAAGAGATAGAAACCTTTCATTTATAACTGGCTGTGAATTCTGGCTCTGCCATAAATTAGCCCTAAGACATTGAGCAATAGTGATGGTTAATGCAGCCCAAGCTTCCAAAGCCAGGGATTCCTCTCCTATCCTTGCTAATTCTTTGAATGACGCTACTTTGATCACAGTCTGCAGCTTCTTGAGGGCAGTTTAAGAGAGAAGGTATAAAAGAAACCACCATAATATTTGATAATCAGCAAACCAAAACACAACCATTTTAAAAGAGTATTATTTTAAAAGGGTTATAATTTGTCTAAAAGGACAAAAAAGGGAATTCTCCAAAACTTACTTAGCACTTAAAGAAACTTACTTATTTTTTTATTATATTTTATTTTTTGAGACAGGGTCTTTCTTGCTCTGTTGTCCAGGCTAGAGTGCAGTGGTACAATCTTGGCTCACTGCAACCTCCGCCTCCCAGGTTAAAGTGATTCTCCTGCCTCAGCCTCCCTAGTAGCTGGGACTACAGGCGCGTGCCACCACGCCTGGCTAATATTTTTTTTTTTTAATTTTTTGTAGAGACGGGGTTTCACCATGTTGCTCAGGCATCAAACTCCTGAGCAGGTGATCCACCAGCCTCGGCTTCCCAAAGGGCTGGGATTGCAGGCATGAACCACCGTGCCCGGCCAAAGACTGTGCAAATGTTTAAGGTTTGATATTCTTTGACAAATTTTCCTCTACATAGTTGTAGCATTTATGTTTTCACTAGCTATAAATAAAAACACCAGTTTCCCTGTATTCACTAGTCCTTAAATCCACTAATCTTTATCATCCATCAAATTTTTTGACCGTTTGGTAAGTTAAAACACATCATCTCATTGTTTTAGTTTGAATTATTCTATTAGTAGTAATATTGAACTTTTTTTCTATGTATTTTCTTTTGCTATATGTATTTTTTCTTTTATGTTGTATGTTTACTTTCTTTGCTCTTACTTTCCTTGGTTTTTATCTTTTTATGAATGATTTTGAAAATCTGTCTGAAAGTGCACTTCACATATTAAGCATATTAACTTATTGTCACATTGCAAATATTTTCTCAGTATATTGTTGCTTTTGATGTTATTAAAGTTCCTTTTTGAGGTATAGTTCCAGACATTCATTTCATTAATTCTATCCATATTAGACTTAGAAAGACCCATTTCCTTTTAGACTTTATGACTCCAACTATATTATCTTCTATAACTTTTATTATTATATTTAAATATTTAAGTTACCAAAAGTGTGTGAAGTAAAAAAATGCCTCCAACATGTTCTTCTAAAGTGATAGTTAATAGTACCTATTTCATAATTCACTTTTTCCTAGTTGATTTGAAATTTGGGCCACAATCCCTATCTGAGCCCTTGATGCTCAATGTATTGTGGAAATTCAGATTTTTTTTGGATTTTAGAAAAGTAATGAAGTACATATCTGTATGCATATGGTGAGAGGACGGAGCCAGATAGAGCTTCATGGATGAGGTTGGACCAATGTTGGGCCACAAAGGATTGATGGGGTTTGTCTGGATGATGGAGTCCATACCAGATGGGCAGAGAGGCAGGAGAAATACTCGAAGATAGGAACGAGTGCGTTGAGGAAACCAGTCTGAAGAGATCTTTACTAGGTAATGACCGGAAGTAGCCTTATTGGAGCTGAAAGGTACATCATGCCCAGCTTAAGCGACATTCACACTCTGCTCTATAAGGGTGGTGGCCTATCTGGCTTATTTTTTCAGGATCCCAGAATTCTGAATGCAGTTCTCAAGTTCTTTGATTCAGATAATTACTTTAGTAGGTGAGAAATGCACAGAGAAAATGTGGTTCTTCTCTTTGGGTAGAGTAATGAGAAATTTGAATGAGGAAAAGTATGCGGGACTGGCCTCACTGAAGTGGCAGCATGAGCAGAAAGAATACAGAGACAGCCTGGCAGACGTGATTCTCAGCTGAACTCTCAAGATGTTTTGGAGAATTCATAAACAACTTACGATGTTTTATTTGATACACTTGATTGTCCTTCTCAATTTGGTAAGTGCCAGCTTATTACCCTAAATATGTGCAGTGTGGCTGCATTTATTCCTCTCCTTTGTCTTATAAATCCCGTTTTGTCTTTTTTCCTTGGCTTAGTCTATCAATACATTACATCACATGCATGTATATAATTTGTGGCAAAATAACTAAATGACTGAGTTAGACACTAATATTACTTTCTTCCTGAGCTCTCACCCACTGGATAATGGGGGCAAAATAACTGAATGTCTAAATCAGTTTAAAGCTTAGTTTAATCCAGTCTTTTTTTTTTTTTTTTTGAGAAGGAGTCTCGCTCTGTTGCCCAGACTAGAGTGCAGTGGCACAATATCGGCTCACTGCAACCTCCGCCTCCCAGGTTCAAGGATTCTTTGACCTCAGCCTCCCAAGTAGCTAGGATTACCTGCTTGAACCACCATGCCTGGCTAATTTTTTTTTGTTTGTTTTTGTTTTTTTAGTAGAGATGGGGTTTCACCATGTTGGCCAGGCTGGTCTTGAACTCCTGACCTCAGGTGATCTGCCCACCTTGGCCTCCCAAAGGGCTGGGAATATAGGTGTGAGCCACCATGCCCAGCCCTAGTCATTTAAATAGTTATTTTAGGTCATGATTTCTCTCAGAAAGCCTCTCCTTTTCCCCGTTGGTTTACTTAAGGTGCAACATGGAAGAAGGGGTTGTGTGGCTTTCATATCCTCAAGGTGTTGGGGGAAGGGGCCTCTGATGTTGTGCTGCCCTTTGGAATGTACACATTGACACAGCAGCTGCTGGTCGATGGAAGGATGGCCCACATTCACTTGGCTGCTGGATGCCCCACTGGCCTGCAGTGTGTGAACTTGTGGCCCATTCTTTTGGCTCAGGCATTTTTTATGGTGGTGCTTCCTAGATGATCCAACCTAAACTTGACTTCCTGTGTTATTAGAAACTCCTTCTAACGTCCGGCTGAAACACCCACTTGACCTTGGCTTAACTGGTCTGTGACACTATCATCACTATAGAGCCATCTTTCCTTGAGTATGCCAATATCCTGGGACAAACATCCCAGCTTAACTCTCAGTTACTTCCATGACCTAGGACACATGAAAACCAAGCGTGGTTCAGAAAATCTCAGGCCTCCTTCCGCCTGCCTTTGATATGCCATCGTGTCGAGGTGGCTGTATCCTAGGTTGCTACAGCATAGCTTCTTCCTGTGTCTCAATATTAAGGGGAGTGGGGCAGAAGTCCCTTCTGCCTAAGCACTTGTTTTCATTTACCTGGTACTTGTCTTCCTCCCTAAGCTACACCCTGCAGAAGGAGCATTTAGGACTCACTCATCTGGCTGTTTGAGTTTTATTCTCCCTTTTCTTAGACTTCTTCCTGTATTTCCTCTAGGACAGAAGGGGCTGAAATTTTATTTTATTTCTGTGTTGTTTCTTTCTTATTCCTCACTCCAGCAAAGGTTCAACAACAGACAGAGTCCTACTCTTAACTTTAAAGGGGGAAATTTGTGGGCTGAGCCTTCTAAGTTTAACTGTGTATATGCTAATTGGGAGGAGTAAAGGTTTTTCTTGAGAGAAAAATTTTCTCTCAAGGAAACAGCCTTTTTTGCAAGGATATTGTCTTGTTGGACAATTCCATTGAACACTCAGCAACAATATTATTGTGACAAATTCTAGGGATGCCTGGGGGCTAGTTTTGGCAGCTTTGTACTTGCAAAGGCCTGAAAGAAAAGCACACTGATAATTTAAAAATCATTACCCTGGTTATATTAACCATTATAATATATGAAGGACTTCTTTAAACTTGTGACATGATTAAGATATTTGAGTTGGATACCTTAGGTTCCAAGGAATAGATACTCGCTCAGATCTTCCAAATTCATGGGACATTTACTGTGAGGACATATGTGACATATCTATTAGGGCTGATGGGTTGCAATCAATGGGAGCTGATCCAGGCTAACTTAGGCAAAACCATAATTTAATAGGATGGCAGGTGGTAGCCCATGGAATTTAAGGGAAGGCCAAAGAAAGAGTCTGTAGAGAGTGGGAATCACTCCAGACATCTCGATCTAAGGGACAGTCTCTTTACAGTGCTGCTAATGGTACAGATTTTCTCTAATTCTTTATGCCTCTAAGTGGCTCCCTTCATGACTATCTCTTAAGAGAGAGGCTGATTGGCCTGGCTGGGGTCAGGGGCCCACCCCTTAGCTCGCAGAGCACAGTTCCTCCAAAACTCAGAGTGGTAGTGGAAGAAATGCAGTAGAGAGGCAGTTTGAGAGGGCAAGCTGAGTTCAGGTTAGGGCACATGGCATTCCTGATCATGGCAGAATATCTAAGCAAAAAGTTTATAATCTGGCTACTGAGTCAGGACTAATTTAGAACCATTTTCTCCACAGAATGTGTAAGAGCTAGAATTTATTATTATAAAAAAAAAAAAAAAAAAAAAAAACAGGAAAGGAAAAAGATCTTAGCCATTTAAGGCCGGGCGCCGTGGCTCACACTTGTAATCCCAACAGTCTGGGAGGCCGAAGTGGGCGGATCACGTGAGCTCAGGAGTTCGAGACCAGCCTGGGCAACATGGCAAAACCCCATCTCTACCAAAAATACAAAAAACTAGCCAGGCATGGGATAATCGCTTGAGCCTGGAGGTGGAGGTTGCAGTGAGCCAAGACTGTACCACTGCACTCTAGCCTGGACAACAGAGCAAGAAACACCCTGTCTCAAAAAATAAAATAAATAAATAAATAAATAAGTTTCTTTAAGTGCTAAGTAAGTTTTGGAGAATTCCCTTTTTTGTCCTTTTAGACAAATTATAACCCTTTAAATATAATACTCTTTTAAAATGGTTGTTATGCTTTGGTTTGCTGATTATCAAATATTATGATGGTTTCTTTTATACAGAGCAAGACTCCGTCTCAAAAAAAAAAAAAGTTCACGGTCTCTTTGATCCAGAAATTCCACTTCTTTTTTTATTTCAATAGTTTTCAAGGTACAGATGGTTTTCGGTTACATGGATAAGTTCTTTAGTGGTGATTTCTGAGATTTTGGTGCACCTGTCACCCAAGCAGTATACACTGTGCCCAATATGTAGTATTTTATCCCTCACCCCCGCCCAACTTCCCCCCAAGTCCCCAAAATCCATTATATTACTCTTATGCCTTCCCATCCTCAAAGCTTAGCTCCCACTTATAAATGAGAACATATGATATCTGGTTTTCCATTACTGAGTTACCTCACTTAGAATAATGGCCTCCAGCTCCGTCCAAGCTGCTGCAAAAGACATTATTTTATTCCTTTTTATGACTGAGTAGTATTTTATGGTGTATATATACCACGTTTTCTTAATCCACTCATTGGTTGATGGGCACCTGCAAATTGTGCTGCTATAAACATGCATATGTGCATGTGTCTTTTTCTTACAATGACTTCTTTTCCTTTGGGTAAGTACCCAGTAGTAGTGAGAGGTGAAGCCAGCTGGACTTCCTGGGTCAAGAGGGTACTTGGAGAACTTTTCTGTCTAGCTAGAGGATAGTAAATGCACCAATCAGTGCTCTGTGTCTAGCTAAAGGCTTGTAAACGCACCAATCAGCACTCTATAAAATGGATCAATCAGCACTCTGTAAAATGGACCAATCAGCACTCTGTAAAATGGACCAATCAGCAGGATGTGGGCGGGGCCAAATAAGAGAATAAAAGCTGGCCACCCCAGCCAGCAGCAGCAACCCGCCCAGCAGCAGCAACCTGCTCGGGTTGGCTTCCACGCTGTGGAAGCTTTGTTCTTTTGCTCTTCACAATTAATGTTGCTGCTGCTCACTCTTTGGGTCTGCACTAACTTTATGAGCCATAACACTCACCACGAGGGTCTGCGGCTTTATTCCTGAAGTCACCGAGACAACGAACCTACCAGGAGGAACAAACAACTCCAGATGCGCCACCTTTAAGAGCTGTATCACTCACTGCGAAGGTCTGTGGCTTCACTCCAGAAGTCAGCAAGACCACGAACCCACAGGAAGGAAGAAACTCCAGACACCTCTGAACATCTGAAGGAACAAACTCCGGACACACCATCTTTAAGAGCTGTAACACTTGCCGCAAGGGTCCTCAGCTTCATTCTTGAAGTCAGCAAGACCAAGAACCCACCCGAAGGAATAAATTCCGGACACAGAAGGATTGCGGGATCAAATGGTTGTTCTACTTTTAGTTCTTTAAGGAATCTCCATACTGTTTTCCACGGTGGGTGTACTAATTTACATTCCCACCAGCAATTTAAAAGTGTTGCCTTTTCACCACATCTACACTAACAGCTATCGTTTGTTGATTTTTTAATTATGGCCATTCTTCCAGAAGTAATGTGGCATCTCTCACTGTGGTCTTAATTTGCCAGAAATTCCACTTCTAAAAATTTGTCAACAGGAAATAACTATGGATATGCACCCAAAGATTGACTAAGAGGATGACAAAACATTGCTTGCAACAGTAAAAGGATTGCATGCTATGTAAATGTTCAAAAATAAGAGGATTAGTAAAATAAACCAGTAGGGTAGAATATCATCATCTATTTAAAATAATGCCATGAAATATTTAACAATGGGAAATAATATCATTACATTAAATGAAAAATCAAGTCTCAAAAAGTAAATAAAATTTTAAATATGGATCAGTATATATAAAAAGGGCATATGCCAAAATATTGAGAATAGCTACTCAGAATGGTGAGGCTATGATAAGTAGTATAACCGTCTTTCTTTTTAATTTATATCAGCTTTACTCAACTAAATTTTCTACAATATCTATCTATCTATCTATCTTTCTATCTGTATAAAGAGAAAGAGATGCATTAATTTTGTAATAAGAAAGCCTCTTTTTAATACTCCTTTCCTTGTCACCCACCAATATATCTAATTTACTACTGTACTTATTTCTTATCATCTATGTCCACACTTTCTCCAACATAATTGCTTTTTCCCTTATATCTTCTCAATTTTTAAAAGATCAAATATAATTCAAAAAAACCCTAAAATTCATAAAAATAGACAAAAGGAGATAAACTATTATCACCTTTGCTTTTAAAATTGCCAACAGGCTACTAAACTTCTGTGGGAATCAAAAAAAGAATGTAGTGTAAATTGTGTCAGGCAATGGAAGATTAATAAATTCTTATTTAAGAATTGCATTAAACTATATTTCCTGCTTCTTAAAAGTGAACGGAAATGAGAACAAAGATGAGGAAGAGAAAAGGGTGGGATACTCACTGCCTACTCTGTCACACTGTTCTGGGCACGGCAGATACACTGTATCATTCAGCTCTCAAAATAACTTCAGCACATTTGTGTAAATGATGCTTAAAGAAGTTAAGTAGCATGCTCATGAACACAAGGCAAAGAAAATTGAAAAACTAGGATTCAAATCCAGGCATGTCTAACTTCAGCCGCTTATGATTTTTAATTTTGTCTTGGATACACCAGAAAATATGATAAAATGAAAAAATAGCTAGATAGTAACAAACTGGCAATTTTTAAATTCAAATCGAAGCATAAAATTATGAAAGCTTAGAGTCAAAAATCAGAATTCTATTATGATCTTTTATGACCTAATGAGAAAACAAATTACATTTGGAGCCTTTAATCTAGGAGAATTCATTTTGGAAGATTATACAAAAAAGAAACTGGATAAAGATCCCCTGGCTGTCTGCAATTATTAATGAAACTTACCTAACCTCTACTTCATCTCTAGGATTATCAAAAACAGCACCCAATGTCATTATTTTTTCATACTGAAAATATCCATTAATCTATTCTAATACAATACAACAATTAATGAATACTCAGAGGTGCTGTTAACAGTTTTGTATTTAATATTTTAGACATTTTCCTAGGCACATGTATAGAAATATAGGTACATGTAAAGTACGTGAATGTTATGTTTACAGAAATGGTATCACATCGCCATATTAGTTGACAGCTTGCTTATTTTGCATAGCAATGCATTCAAATGTTCCTTAAAAACATCTTAAGCAGACCTATAACTATCTAGTCACCAATAGTTATCGAAAGGTACAAAGGTCAAAAGGTACAAAGTTTCCATTAGAAGGTATAAGTTTTAGTGATCTATTGCACAGCCTGGTGACCGTAGTTAATAATATGTTGTATATATTTTAAAATTTTAAATGTTCTCACCACAAAACAGTGATAATTATGTGGTAATGGACATGTTAATTCACTTGATGTAATCATTTCATGATGTGTGTGTCTCATAACATCACATCATACCTCATAAATATAATTATTATTTGTCAATTAAAAATAAAATTAAATATGAATAATTTTCATTCAACCTGGTTCAATTTTTTCATTTCATGTCTAATTGAAAGCTGTCTCCTCATCACAGTGCAAATTAGACTTGCGACACAAGAAGTTTGGAATAGGGATAGAAGCACACTGTCTTTTTATTTTCGTAATCCTTAACTCTGTCGCTATTGGGGACACATCATTTTTGCCTCCATTCCATTGGAGAGAGCTTAGTCACATGGCCATTTCCAACTGTAAGTCAGGCTGGGAGATAGAGTATAGTTGTATTTCAAAAAAAGAAAAGAGTGATTCTAATGGAAAGCTAAAAGTCTCCACCACAGTGTTGCTCTATGCAGGGTAACCATGTGATCTACTGTTTAAATCAGGAGTTGCTGAGAGTGAAATAATTAGGCAGAGATAACAAGTAAATTCTAGGAGCATTTTGGGAAAATTCTCTTCCACTATTTCTGTGCTTACTAAAGTCCTCTAATCTCTTTGGGTCGCCTTTCCTGAGGCAGTCTGTCATCTCCTTTGTGTCACCAAAACAGTGTATTCACAGCTCGAGCACATCAGCTCACACATTTGTTGAAATTATTTACTGTCTTTCTACTTTCTACTGTCTTGTGGTGTGCTTACACCTCCACTCTGCACCTGTGGCCATCCAAGAGGTTACTGAGTCTTCCCATTTCATTTGGTCCTAGTTGAGAGACAACAATCATGGCAAACCATGCCACAATGGGGCAGGCTAATTGGCTCAGTCCTGACTAACCACAGAACGGCATAATTAGTTCAGGAATGAGCAAAATTGGAACACTCAGGAATCTTCCCATGGGCTTTAATGTGTGGGAACTGAGAGAAAGATGGTTTCTTTCTCCATCCAGTGGCCCAGCTGCCATCTATCTCTACATATTGTTGCCATAAGGGAATACAGACTCTAAAGTTTGGATATATTCTCAATACTGGGTCAAAAAATTTTTAAACCTTGAGCGGGCTAAACCATACATATACCTATGTTTTGGATTTAGCTGGATTTTGAGCTCTAATGTAAGACAAAAATCTGACAATGTCACTGTCCACTCCAAACCCCTCAGTGACTCCCTACTGCCTACAGGTTAGAAACCCAAGCTCTTTATCATGGCATTACTATCTGGCTTCTCCCTCCTCATCTGCCTCTTCTCCCATCCCCTTCCTTACAACTCTGACTTGCCCTTACGCTATGTCATAGTTATTCTCATGTTATACAACTATCTCATGTCATCAATGCCCCTACATCCTGAAATTATGAGAGACTCTCAAAATCTACTCTTCAAACCCCCATCGCATTATCAAGCTCCTTCCCCACTCTGGGAATTCCCACTGTAATTACTTGTTATAACCATAAATTCTTTTGTGGGATGTGGAGAATATAAGGATAAAAAGTAGATTACTGGCCAGTCGCAGTGGCTCACGCATGTAACCCCAGTATTTTGGGAGGCCGAGGCGGGCGGATCACTTGAGGTCAGGAGTTCCAGACCAGCCTGGCCAACATGGTGAAACCCCATCTCTCCTAAAAATACAAAAATCAGCCGGGCATGGTGGTGGGCGCCTGTAATCCCAGCTACTCGGAAGGCTGAGGCACAAGAATCGCTTGAACCCAGGATGCAGAGGTTGCAGTGTGCTGAGATTGTGCCACAGCACTCCAGCCTGGGCGATAGAGCCAGACTCAGTCTTAAAACACACACACACACACACACACACACACACACAATTACCATAACTCTATGCTGTATCATTCACACAGTGTCATGCACACACACACACACACACACACTCTCACACCTGTGCCACTGTTCAAACTGTTGCTCTGCCTATAATAATATGGTTTGGCTCTGTGTCCACACCCAAATCCCATGTTGAATTGTAATCACCAGTGTTGGGGGAGGGACCTGGTGGGAGGCGATTAGATCATGGGGGCAGATTTCTCCCTTGCTATTCTCACGCTAGCGAGTGAGTTCTCACAAGATCTGGTTGTTAAACAGTGTGTGGCACTTCCCCTCACTCTCTCTCTCCTGCTCCGGCATGTGAAGAAGGTGCCTGCTTCCCCTTCACCTTTCTCCATGATAGTAAGTTTCCTGAGGCCTCCCTGGCCATGCTTCTTCTACAGCCTATGGAACTGTGAGTCAATTAAACCTCTCTTCTTCATAAATTACCCAGTGTCAGGTAGTTCTTTATAGCAGTATGAGAACAGACTAATACAAATGCTCTCCCTCAACTAACACTCACACATACACTCAGACTCTGCTCTGGTTTCCCTCCAGGAAGCCTGCTCTGACTTCTCAGTCCTAGGCCCAGGAGCCCATCTTTGATACCCTCTACTGTGCTCCTATATTAATTATGCAGGGTGCTATCACAGCACTTATCACAGTGGTAAGTGGTGTCTCTTACATGTTGATCCCTTCTACCAGACTGAGCTCCTCTAAAGTGGGCTCTTAGTATGTATTCATCTCTACATCTCTCATGTCTAGCACAGAATAGATATTTAACAAATACCAGTTAACCTGAACAGAGCTGTAGTGAAAATTATGGCTGGGATAAATAGAATTATTAAAAGAAATTCTGGAAAGCCCTGAAGTCTGGTGCAATATATAAATATAAATAAAGGAGGATAAAGAGTCCATTGTCTGAAGCCATCTTCATCATGCAAAGCTAGCCTTTTACAATATATAAGGTTAGAAAAGGCTGTAAAAGGGAACCCTGGCACTGGATTTCATTACTGGCTCCGTCCTCTCTGGAGCGCGAGTGTCCATTCCTGCTGTGAAAGGCTAATGTGGATGCATTACTATGCCCTACTACGTGGTTCTTCTTCCCAGGTGTTCAGCCTTGTGTTCTGCCAGCTACCACTCTGACCAGAAGCATTTTTAGGCAAAGGGACATTTATTGTATAAACTTGTAACTAATATATAACCTCAGAAGATTTATTTTTACTTAGTTCTGACTTTCGGAACCCAATTTGGATTCCAAATTTTTACTGTCCCGCATTTCTAATCCTGTTCATTTTTCAAAAAAGCTAAAACTTTTGTTGTTCACAATGGTTTGAATCTGGATACTAAAGAGGACTAATTTACTTAGTCTGAAATGGATTCCATTTTGCTTTCCAAAAAGTTTGACCTCTCAACTTTATCTAGAACCTAGGTCTTTTGATATTTTCATGTTCAATGTTTGAATTCATCATCATCATCCATCAGTAGAGGAGAGATAATTTCTTGAGGACTTACTATGTGCCAGGCACTGTGCTAGTGCTGGCACTGTCTCACTTATCTTTAAGAAAGTACTGTAGGGGGGAAGAGTCAAGTATGTTTGAGCTATTTGTCCCAAAACATGACCCATTTCTCAAGACACAAACTTTGAAATCTCCACAGAAAAAATAATCTCCTTCCTTTGAATTCTTTTTATGTCACATGTACAGAATTTTGCATCATCAACATCATTCAAAAAATATTTATTGAATACTCATTATGTGTCAAGGTTAGGAAACAGTGGTTAACAAGCCAGACATTTCCCTCATGGAGCTTAACATCTTAGAAAGAAGGCAGACAGAGGACAAGTAGGAGTAAGTATGACAAGCATAAAAAGAAGTGTGGAATTTGGAGGGAAACTACCCTAGGCTGGAGGCCACACCAGTAAATGCTCCCATGAGGCAGCAAGTTATGAAGCTAAAGGTGGGCAAGAGGTGACCACGTCAAGGTGGACAAGGGAAGAGCATTCTAGGCAGAGGAGACATTAGAGTCACCTCGTCCACAATATATCTCATACAGTATCTTCATCTTCAATATAACCCTAAAAAAATCATTATTGTCATTTTGCAGATAAGAAAAACTAAGACTCAGAGGTCAGACCAGTTAATAAGATTAGAACTCTTGATGACTGGAATCTAAAACATTTCCAGTATGCTTAGCTCCTTCTCAAACTTGTCTTGCCCAGCCCATTTGGGTCAGCAGTTGGCAAACTGTTTCTGTAAAGAAACAGATAGTAAATACTTTTTAGGCTTTGCACACCAGAGGCAAAAACAAGGATAAAATATATGAACTTAAATAACAAGAGGGAAAAGAATTTCATGTTGTGTTTTACAAAATTCAAAATATAATTGAGTACAATATTTTGAAATACAGATCTACTAATGAGAAGAATGTAATTCCTTTTAGGAGAATAACATTTCACTTAATTAGAGTTCAAAGCTAATGTTTCCTATCATCGAATCAATCACAAATATTCATCTGTGAAAACCATTCTAACTTTCTGATCATATCAAAACACGCGGCCAGTCAGATCTGGCCCCCAGGCTTAGCAACCCCTGAATTGGACTATAAACACTGAGATCAGTACTGAACAATAATTTAATGTGAGGCACACATGTAATTTTAAATTATCTAGTAGCTGCAGTAAAAAGAAACAGGTAAAATTTATTTTAGTAATGTATTTTCTTTACCAAAAATGTAATTATTTATACATATAATTAATACAAAAAGTATTAATGGGCTATCTTGCCATCTTTTTTCATACTAAATCTTTGAAGTCCAGTGTGAATTTTACATTTGCAACATGTCTTAATTTGGACTAGACACATGTCAAGCATAGCCCAGGGACAGGTCTGTGTCAGTCTGGGCATGTATAAATAAGAAAGGCAGAAAATATAAAATCTGTGTTCCACTGAAGAATGCAAATTCTGTTTAAAGATGATAACTGCCACTCAGCTGCACAAAATCCTGTGTGAAAAAGTGAACCAATGTGTTGCCAGATGTTCCAGATTTTATGAGACATATTTCACACTGCACATAGATGCTCAATAAATATTAAGACTTTCAAGTTAAAACAATAATGTTTGCAAATAAAATACTTCAAGAATATCAAAGGAATGAAAGTAGATGATAAAAATATAGAAATAATGATATCCATATTTCCAAGCATCTTATAAAAATAAGTTTACCCACTTAGATTTTTCAATAGTATTTTAAAGAATAAAATTATTCAGTTAAAAGTGTTGTAACCGGCCAGGTGGGTGGCTCACATCTCTAATCCTGGCACTTTGGGAGGCCAAGCTGGGAGGATCGCTTAAAGCCAGGAGTTTGAGACCAGACTGGGCAACAAAGCAAGATTCCCTCTCCACAAAACATAAAAAAAAAAATTAAAAAATGAGCTGGGCATGGTAGCACACACCTGTAGTCCTAGCTACTCTCAAGGCTGAAGTGGGAGGATCACTTGAGCCCAGGAGTTCAAGGTTACAGAGAAAGAGCAAGACCCTTTCTCAAAAAAAAAAAAAAAAAATATATATATATATACATATATATACACACACACACACATATATATACACACATATATATACATACATATATAGGGATAAATGAATATACATATATATATATGTGTGTGTGTGTGCAATGGAATATTATTCAGGCCTAAGGGAAGAAAATTCTGATATATGCTAAACATGGGTAAACCTTGAAGACATTATGCCAAGTGAAATAAGCCAAGCACAAAAGGATAAATATTGTGTGATTCGATTTATGAGTTATCTAGAGTAATCAAATTCATAAAAAACAGGAAGCAGAATGGTGGTTGCCAGGGTTGAGGGCAGGGGCAAATGGAGGCTTAGAACTTAATGTACAGCGTTTCAGTTTGGAAAGATGAAAAATGTCTAGAAATGCATGGCAATGATGGTGGTAGAACAATGTGAATATTCTTATGCCACAGAACTGATCAATTAAAAATGATTTAAAATGGTAAAGTTTATATTATGGTATTTTACTACAATAAAAAAGTAGCTATAACATATGTTAAGAAAAACACTTGTTTTTATTTAATCGACAAATAAAATTTGTATATATTTTTGATGTGCAATATGATGTTCTGAAATATGTACATATTGCAGAATGGCTAAATCAAGCTCATTAACCCATGCATTATCTCATATATTTATTATTTTTTGCAATGAGAACACCTAAAATCTACTCTCTTAGCAATTTTCAAATATACAAAACATTGTTTTATTTTATTTTATTATATTTTTTTGTTTTTGAGACGGAGTCTCGCTCTGTCACCCAGGCTGGAGTGCAGTGGCGCAATCTCGGCTCACTGCAAGCTCTGCCTCCCAGGTTCATGCCATTCTCCTGCCTCAACCTCCTGAGTAGCTGGGACTACAGGCACCCGCCATCACGCCCGGCTAATTTTTTGCATTTTTTTTTTTTTTAGTAGAGACGGGGTTTCACCATGTTAGCCAGGATGGTCTCGATCTCCTGACCTTGTGATCTGCCCGCCTCGGCCTCCCAAAGTGCTGGGATTACAGGCGTGAGCCACCGCGCCTGGCCAAGCCAATACATTGTTTTTGACTATGGTCACCATGTTGTACAATAGATTTCATGAACTTAATCCTCTTAACTGAAATATTGTATTATTTATCCAAAATCTCCTCATTCCTCATTTCCACCACCAGCCACTGGCAACCATCACTCTACTCTCTGCTTCTATACATTTGACTGAAAATATCCATTTTTAATCTTTCTTGAAACAGTGAAGTATAGCCTTTCAAATTCAGACAAATTGGAGAAGAAGAACATGAAACACTGAAATGTTTCATTATAAATGTTTTGAATTGTCTTTTTTCATATTCAAATATGCACACCAACTGCAACAAGATTAGCAATGTCAATTTTTTCAAACTGTGGTAACATTTCTTAGGAGACACAGAAAAATTGATAAGTTTGACTTGTAGTGAGTGTTCTGCTTATATCTAAATAAGCCCCTCCAAAGTGTCAAAAAATATACAAAACAGTTGCTTTCCTGAGCATTTTATATATTCCCCCCAAATATCATTCTCATAATTGATAGGGATGTATATCAATAAAAATAAAAATATACCAACAAAAAACATACCAATAATATAAATTGGATGTATACCAAAAAAAATACAAAAAAACCCCAAAAAATACCAATAAAAATAATAAAAATAATACCTGCTTTGAGGACTATTAAGAAAATGAAATGAGATAACTTTAATTAGACCAGAAAAATCTCATTATAAACTACAAAGCACTGTGCAAATATTTTTATTGTCAAATAATTAATAAAGCAAAGAGCAACTTTTGTCCTGGTTCCACAGAAAACATCACACATTCCAGAAACAAAAGTCTGAATTGATAGATTACCAAAATAGCTGCTTTCCTCCAGCTAGGTTTATTGGCAAAATATTCTCTATTTCCTCTAATCCATGTAGGGACAAAAAGGTACATTGGTATCCACTCTGTGATTTTTAAGTACAATTTCATAGGGCAAATGCTTCCCACAACTATTTGCATATCTACACTCTAACCCAGACTGATTTGCATTTATAGAGAAATCAGAGCAGGATGTTCCTAGCTCAATACTACTACTATCTAGTATCAAAGAAATCCCATCTCCATTTTCTAATGCATGGTCTGTATTTGGAATTCATTTCTGTGGGAGGTCATAGAGTCAAACACTACAACTGAGAAAGGAACTGATATTCACGATGCAGGCAGTAAGTGTGAGCCAAGATTGCCAGGGCAATCAAATCTCATGCTTCAAGAAAGAAAATCATCATTTGCAAGGTCAGAAAGGAATTTCCTCTTCTCTATTAATAGGAAATACAGGCAACTTGACAAATGAATTGTGAGGGATTAACAAAGTATTAATGATATCCCCTTCCACCAAAAAAAGAAAAAAAATCAATGGCTTAGCTGTGTAGGTGGCATGATCCTGTGTAAGAAGTCTGTGTCCTTGTGTTTTGTACCATTTGAAGTGACACATATTTAGTTCATTTCCACCAAGTGTCTTTGTAATAATAACCCCAAGGAATTCTTCAGCTGCCATTCTTAATAATGAAATTTTATTTCCATTAATTCATTAATTTCTGATTATTTTAACACAGCAATGCTTGAGAATTTAACTTTATTGTCACTTTACTTTCCATAAAATTTTAGGTTTTTATAACATAAAAATTTATTAATAGGTGACTATAAGCCCTTAGTCATTTGAGGCTTTCCTTCATTACACTGAATATGTAAACATGAATGTTTTATGAATAAGATTCCTAAGACTAATCACATATTTTTAAACATATGTACTTAAATATCATTTTCAGTTATGTTGAAATAATTGAATCAACTTAAGATACAAACTTAATACATTTTTAATATTTGTTTTTACTATGATACTCATCACACATTCGGAATTCACACCTCATGGCTTACTAAGTTATGATATTACTTGATTTGTGACAACTTTGTTTCTAATAACCCTTTATCTTAGCATTTTAATATAAAAACTTTATGCTATATAAATGTTACATGCTTCAGCAGTTGACACTCATTAATTGTGTAAGAGTTCTTTGGAGGATTATAGATGTGTTTTCATGCTAGATCATCTGGAATACAATTATAATGAAAAATTTCATCCCTTTGCATTAAAAAAATAACAATTATTAAAAGAGTACTCCTGATTTTCTAGAGGGCTGTTCTGCTGCTATTGCTGTTGTTTCTGAACCTGAGTTCCAAACTCCCCAAGAGAACAGCATCTAGGATGTTAGTACCTGATTCCACCAGCAGGTGCTACTTGTATATCCAGGGTTAGTCCTGTCTCAGAATGACAAAATAACAGTTTAATGAAGGGCATTTCTTTAAAAAGTTACAAATATTGCTGTGAAACATTTAAAAAATGCTTATCGCACAATTTGGCACTGTTTAGAACACCATTTCCTGGACCCATTTCCTTATGCTCTTGAATTAACAAAGCCTCAGCGATGCTAAAATCAACATTTATTTCTGGCACTGGCTGCATTTTTATTTCTGTAAAAGTTTGATTATGAGTAAAGAGTACAGGCACCATCCAATCCTTATGGTTTCTAGGAATTTGTTATGTTTGTACACAGTTTAGAAATGATGAAATTCTATTAAAATTCATTATAACATTGCAGGAATTTTTTAAAATCTTTCCCTCTTTCTTAGCTATTAGCTTTCTTTTTTTCCATACTCAGCCTGACCCAGCCTGTGAAGCTGTAAGTTGGCAGCTGTGATTGCAGTACAGATTTCACACAGTGTAATTACTGCAGTGACACTAGGACTGAGAGGTACAAAGAAAAAAAAGAGGCCCTACAGGTTATTAGCACTAAACACTGGGAGAAATCAAACGGGGAGTCAATGCGTAATTTCGAGGCCTATCAAGCCTCATCAGGAACAGCAGGGAGGAAAGTGCTTCACTTCATCATCTCACTCTCTGACTTTTGTTGAAAATTACAGTAATTAAAAAAGAGCTAAGTACTTCTCAGGCAAGGGGTCTTTTCTTTACCCATCACCTTTTAGTTGGCTGCTGATTCTGTGTGACCTTTTCCTTGGCTCTGTCTATCGCAGTCAACACAGATCTTTGTTGAATGGCTCTCTGAAACCTAATTACTATCTGCTGGGTGATGCGGTATTGATCAGAAAAGGTGGCACAGCAAAATAAGAGTACCAACACTGTGGCCCCAGCAATCGAAAAGTAATTCCAGCCCCATAGAAACGGCTCTTCCATCCCACTTATTAGAAGCAGCTGTGATGTTGCCAAATCGATATACCACACTGGATTGCTTCTTTGACTAAAAAGTGGTCTTTCTTTTCAGAAGTCATATACAAGCAGTGGCCTCTGACTTCAAAGGACTTTGCCCTAATGCACTGTGTGAGTGAACAAATTCTATGTTGGCAAACATCTTCAGTACAAGTAGTGGTACTGTTGTTGTTTTTCTAAATCACTACTTATATTTAGCACCATAATGGAATATCAATGTGGCCAATTCATCTGATAAATCTTCAATTGTATTAACAAAAGAGGCCATTAGATATTTCACTTCATCAGAAAGAAAATGTTCAACTATATTGGAAAGCATAAATTAATCTAAATGAAATAGTTTAGTGCTCAAAAATTAAGCCATTTTAACAAAAACTTATTTTCTAAAAAGCAATAATAGTTAATCTCATGTTTTGGTATATAAGACAGGTCAAAGGTGAGTTGTGATTAATTGATTTTTAGTAAGTAAAGAAACTATGCATAATTTTACACAGAGAAAGTATTTTTGAATTATGTTATTTCAAATAAAGAATAACAATGTTCTATTTGCATTCAGCCTAAAGATATAAGCAAACAGTCAAATATCTTTAAATTCTAGCATTTAAAATTAGATATATGGGTAATTATATCTAAGGAATAAGTTGTAGTGATTTGCTTGGAGTTTAATCAAGCCTTATAATATAGCATATAGACTTTTGCAGCTGGGGATGCATAATAACCATTTTAAACTGCTGTCATAACTAAAGCTAAGAAGACAGCTCAGTTTAATTTCTATTTGCAGACACCTATAGTTTGAATAATTAACATTTCATTGGGAAAAGATTTCACCTACAATTATTTTATTTGTTATTCAAAATTGTATTATGTTTTCAATCGTTCTAGGTCTAATATATCTCAAATATATCATATTTATTTAAAATATCTTCCTGGCTAAATCATTGACTGCATGAGAAGTCATATCATTAACACAGACGATGGTGTGTGTATTGGGGCTTATTTAAAGATATTTACAGGAACTAGATAAATCAAAACCAGCAATGTATTTCTGAAGAATTTTTCCAAACATTGTTCTTACAACTTTTGTTCCAAGGATATCATTCTACAAAACAACTGCTGCATATCATTAGCACTATAAAATTATAGATATATTCCCTACTTTATAAGAGAAGTAGATTTCATTTACCTATACATGTTTAAGGCAATCATAAAAATTACTACAGCATACAATAATTAGCACAGCTGTGAAATCTGAGTCATGGACCATACATCTACATGTATTACTTTTCAAACAAGCTCTATACCACTGCCTTTGACTCCTAATTACAATTTGCTGAAGCTACTTTGCCAACCCTCAAATCTAGCACTTCCCACCATCTAATGTTCCGATGTCTTTACTTAAATCCCCAAATTCCCAAACTTCATGAGTTCACAGTAGTCTTGACAAACAAAAATGGAAAATTTCCCATGGCAACCCGAGATTTTGGTGTAGTCCACTGAAGTGCCTGGGTGCACAGTTCAGGAACCAAACTTAAGTCAATATTTTTTTCAAACAGTATTTTATTTGAAATCTCAATTTATAAAATAAAGGCAATATTTATTATTTTATGAGTTCAAAGATACAACAATACTTATTCTAATACTAATCAATGTGGTGAATGTGGTGAGAGGGGCAGTTTATGAACACAATAAATGGAAATTAGCAGTCATGAATGACCATTGATGTCTTATATCAAAAAAATGATTTGGATTCCTGAATTTGTTTGTTTTTATTCCCATTCATTTGTTTTGTTCTTATCTTTGATTTCACCATGATGCTAATCTAAGAGTTTGTATAATGTATATGGTTTAAATAATGTTCACATATTTTATTTAGCTTCTGCAGAGCTACATACTTATGAAAATTTATTTAAGATTTGCTCATTTGCCTTTTAGAATGTTAAAATAAGCTAAAAGAGAGCCTGAAATAGTATAAAACCCCTCAGAAATCAAAGCTGCAAAAAGGAACATGTGTTTAAGCATATTGCATTTATCTAATTGTATATATTTGTTAATCTAGCTTATTTTAAGGGGGGATGGTACGATTTATAAGAAATATGCTTAGAAATTCTCATCTGGACACTTTCAGGAACGTTAAAACAAAATCAGTGCTTCAAGTAACCAAACATCTATGGTCAGAAGAATAAGAATTCTCCTAACATTTCATGGGCTTTTTTAGCTTTCCTATTTGTGAGCAACAGTGTTTCATGACAAATTCTTTCACTTCTTTTTTAGATAGTCCTTTTCTTAGACAGTCCTATTTAAAAATAACAGAGTTATTTTTATCTTATCCAATCTTGCTTCTATCTGTAAATAACATAAAGTAACATAACATACTGGACCACTATACTTATGTAGGAATGCAGTGGTGGGTCAAAGCAACTAAGGAAGAGAAATCTTTATGAGAAAGGGCAAAGGACAAATCATCAAATCCTATAAATATGATTTGAGGTTTTAGCCCAAAATCTGAAGTATAGTCATGCTAACAGCATTTTGATCAACAGAACACATGTAAAATGGTGGTCCCACGAGATTATGATGGAGCTGAAAAATTCCTATCTCCTAGTGACACTGTAGCAAATCTATGATGAAAAAAAAGAAACGAACCAAGCAAACCACCATGGACATATTTCTTAAAAGAGTGACATCCCCTCAAAACTTCAGGCAGGTGTTTCAGGAGGTATTCCAGAAGAAAGCATCATTATAATAGGAGATAGCAGCTCCATGCATGTTACTGAAGACCTTCTAGTGGGACAAGATGTGGAAGTGGAAGACAGTGTTATTGATCATCCTGACCCTGAATAGGCCCAGCCTAATATGTGTGTTTGTGTCAGTCTTTTTTTTAACAAAATAAGTTTAAAACGTAAAAAAAAATTAAAAATAGAAAAAAGTTTATAGAAGGATATGAAGACAATTTTTTATAAAGCTGTACAATTTGTGCTGTAAGCTAAATCTTACTAGAAAACAGTCAAAAACCTTTTTAAAATTAAAAAGTTTATAAAGTAAAAATGTTACAGAAGCTAAGGTAATTATTAAAGATATAAAATTGTTTTAATAATTTAATAAATTTAGTGTAGCCTATGTCAAAAGTGTTTATAAAGTCCACAGTAGCGTTCAGTAATATCCTAAGTTTTCACATTTGCTCACCACTCCCTCACTGACTTACCTAGAGCAACTTCCAGTCCTGTAAGCGCCATTCGTGGTAAGTGCCCTGTACAGCTGTGCCATTTTAAACCTTTTCTATCATGTTTTTACTGTACCTTTTCTCAGTTTAGAAACACAAATACTTACCATTATGTAACAATTGCCTACAGTATTCAGTAAAGTAATATGCTATACAGGTTTGTAGCCTAGGAGCAAATAGGCTATACCACATAGGACAAAATTGCCTAATTATTAACTGAAAAAGAATAAAATAGTCAGTCATAGATATCAAATTGCCTTTCCAAAACAACAGTATATGAGTGCCTGTTTACCTAACCCATTGATGACACAGGATATTATGGATGTTTTTAATTTTTGTCAATCTAATAGGTAAACATTATAATATGTAAGCAATTTCTTTGAGCTATATTTTGCATTTCTCATATTATACATGATGTTGAACAACTTTTTATATGTTTGAAAGCCTTTTTTTTTTCTTAAAGAGACAGGGTCTTGCTCTGTCACCCAGACTGGAGTGCAGTGGCGTGATCACAGCTCACTGCAACCTCAGCCTCCCACCTCAGCTTTTTGAGCAGTTGGGAATACAGGGACACATTACCACGCTCAGCTAATTTTTTTATTTTTGTAGAGACAGGGTCTCACTATGTTACTCAGGCTGATCTTGAACTCCTAGCCTCAAGCGACCCTCCCACCTTGGTCTCCCAAAATGCTGGGATTACAGGCATGAGCCACTGCACCTGGCTGAAAGCCATTTTTTTAATTTAATTTTTTAGAACTTTTTGTACATGTCCTTGATCATTTTCTATTAGATTATTAGTAATTTTCTTGTTGATTTGTAGAAACTCTTTATATATTAAGGGCATTATCCCCTTGTTTTTCATATGTACTGTGCGCAGATTTGAATTTCTTTGATGAGGAGGTTGTAGTGCTAGAGTGCCCTTTAAAATAATTTGGGTTCTGCATGTAAAAATCTCTATAACAAGCTTGATTATTTTATTATTCATGTGCCCAGCTCAGTTCAATGCCAGATAAAATTCAGGGAATTTCCACAGTTCATGTGCTTACCATGTCTAAAATTCACACAGTAAATCCTATTAAATAAACAACCTAACCTGTATAGTATGATATAGCAGCCATAAATGCAGTTCCTGAGTTTAACCCATTAATTTCCTATTTAACTAGAATAAATTTAGTATCTACTGTATTGTGTTTAGCTATTAGCTATCAGTATATAAGTACAGGTAGTTTCATTTCTTTTTGTAAGTTCTGGCTTCTTTTGGGTCTAACGTTAATATTTATGACTAAATATTCAAGCACTGTTCTATATTATTAGCAATTCAACTTTGAAGCAAAAATTTTCATTATTTCTCTCTCAAGTTTCTAGATTTGTTTTATTGATGAGTATCATGAAATTGTAAGGAAAGCTATTTAAAAACCATTACGATTTTTACTATTTTATGTGAGAACCAGTTATTTCAATGCTGTGAAACAAACTGAAATACGAAAATAAATTGGATGCTAAGTAGATATAAGCATCCATAGGACTTTACAGCAGAGGGAATGCACCTTAATGTATGCAAATTTAAAAATAAAAATATTTACAAGGTTGGGGAAAATTCCAGGATTTAATGCAAAGCATGACAAAAGAATCAAGTGTATTACAAATGCTTGAAACAGCCTCGCTATAGGAGTTGGAGAGAAAAGATGCTGATCTAAGTAACTAGAAATGAGTGAAGTACGTATGATATATGTGGGTCATCATTTTTTTAAAAAAAGAATAAAAGAAAAAGGGAAGGGAGAGAAAGAGAAAGATAAAAAGCAGAATAGTATTTGTCTGTGTGACTTTCTCACTAACAGAACTCTAGGTTATATGCCTAGTTGAATCAGTGAATTTCCCAACCATTTTTGCAAATAGAAGTGACCAATAGCTATAAATGTGAACCACAGGACTTCCAGGAAAGCTCTTTATGCCCCACCAAGCTTTCTCCTTCTTACTGCTTGGAATATACATGATGATTAGAGTTCTAGTAGTTGTTCTTGAACCACGAGAGGAAACTCAGAGAATCTCAGAGACTTCAACTCTGATATCCTTGGTACCCCGAACTAATGCTAGCAATTGTCTCCCTCCAGACTTCTCATCTACTGATTAAAGCCACAGCTAGGTAGGCTGTCTGTAATACTGTAGTCAAATCTAATACTAACACAGCCCACAAATTATATGTCATGAATGTAGGTGGAACTATTATGCAACTATATTTCACTCAATTCATGGTAAGAAGAGGCTAGGAAAAGGAGACACAAATTTGTTTAAGTGCTAATCTAAGAAAAATTGTTGGATGTCCAAGCAAATATGTCAATAGAAAATGCTCTTACATCAATATGAGATTTCAAAATCACCATAAGTTCATCAATCCTAAATGCTGACTTGTTAAAACTTAAACACTAGCTGTTCAGTAAGTGTTATGTTTTTATAGGCCAAACATCACCCTTAAGAATTTTAATAAAGCAACTTTTCATTTGTCAGGTATTTGTCATTTAATTTCATGAGTTCTTTTTTCCCTTGCCCTTTAGATTTTACTAGTCAGCAAGCCTTTGGGAAAATTCTCAGATTACACCTTTCTTTTTACTATTTCCAGAAAAACCACCCTAGGCTAGACTTCAAACTCCTAATCCACAATTACTATAATTGCTTTTTAAATGGTCTTTCCAACTACCTCTTCTCACCAATCTATCTCATCTATAATCTAATCCTTCTATTTTATTACACCATTCTTTCTATAGAGCACTGACCACAGACTCCTGATCACATTTATTTTATTCTTGTATATCTTATTTTTCTACTAAATGGTAACATCATAGAAGACACTATACTCAGTGTCTTTTTCATAGTTCTCAGTCCTGTCTTCTCATAAGAAACATCTGGAGAGCTTTTTTAAAATACTGATGCCTCTAGCCAACTCCTGAAGATTCTGATTCAACTACTATGGGTGATGCATAGGCATCCATATCTTTTGAAATGTCAACCCACCATCACTCATCAATGCTGAAGATACAATAGTGAACAAGCAGACAGTATAAATCTTATGCTTCAGTCCCTTCACAGCTTTAAGCAATGCCCTGGGTATGTGTGCACTCATAGGCACACACATGCATGCACAAACACACCTACAAACAACCTCTCCCTAATACAATGTACTCATCTTTTGAGTTTGAAGTCAAGTCCCACCTCCTTTGTGAATCATGCTTTGATGACAACCATCAACACTGGTTTCCTTTTCTTCTAACCCCATTTGATGTACCCACTCTCTACCCCCTCAATCTCTTTAAACTCCTTTGATTGTTATTTATTTATTTTTTGGATCACACAATTAGCACCTCACTATATGTTGTCAAGCTGTTCAACTGTAAAACAAGCACAATAGCCTAGCTGACCTCAAAATTTCCTACCTTTGACTCCAACAATCCATAAATTTATGATTTGTCTGTACTGACCAATTTAGCACTCAATATAGATGATGTTTTCCAATAATTATTTGATATTTGTATATTTTCTGTGGCCAAGTAAAGTACAGGCCCGTTAAAGACAAGGAACATGGTTTTCTAGCTCTCTGGTATATTCCTGCCCTTAGCATAATGCTTGATGCTTAAACATACATTTACTGATATGTTAAACCAAATGAGGCAGTATAAAAAAATGGGGACAAGTCGGAGAAAATCCTTTGAGGAAGCAGTTTTCTACAAACTAGGAGAGAGGGTTTTTAAGAAAGACTGACGGGGTTAGTTGCGCTGCTTCTTCACTTTACCAGCTATGCAGCACTATAACTTAGTGGAATCTCTTCGTATCACTATGCCTCAGTTTTCTCACTTGTGAGACAGAAATAATAATAGTACCTACTCAGATTGTTGTAAGGAGTAAATGTGAGTGTGTGTGTGTGTGAATTAACACACTGCCTGTTATATAATCAGCATTTAATAAACATTAATTATGCAATTTATTATTTTATTTTATTAGGTTAATTAATTGTTGATTAGACAAAGGCAATAAAATAAGATTGAGTATTAAAAGAAGACTAAAATGGCACACTATTTATAACAGCAAAGAGATGGAACCAACCTAAATTCCCATCAATGATAGATTGGATAAAGAAAACCTGGTACATATACACCGTGGAACACTAGGCAGCCATAAAAAGGAATGAGATTATGTCCTTTGCAGGGACATGGATGAAGCTGGAAGCCATCATTGTCAGCAAACTAACACAGGAACAGAAAACCAAACACCACATGTTCTCACTCATAAGAGGGAGTTGAACAATGACAACACATGGACACAGAGAGGGGAACAACATACACTGGGGCCTGTTGTGGGGTGGGGGACAAGGAGAGCAAACCTGATGATGAGTTAATAGGTGCAGCAAACTACCATGGCACATGTATACCTATGTAACAAACCTGCACATTCTGTATGTATACCACTGAACATAAAGTAAAATTTAAAAAGTAAGAATAAAATAAGTTTTATGACTGTGGGGAAACTGGGGATATAGATTCAGATTAGTTTAATAAGTAAATGAATATAAAGGTATAAAGTGGCAGTTCAAATAAAATGAACACTTAGTCAGAACAAGGCTCTTTCCTCAGGTTCTATGACCTGAAAGGCAGACAGAGAACTAGGCCAGACAACGACTCATACATGCTACCTCTTTGTCCTCATTTCCCTCTTTGCCATTACCTACACAAAAAGGGCAGTTGAGTTGTTCATTCATTCATTCAACAAATATTTATTATTATTTGCAAGACACTGTACTAGATGCTGAGAGAATTATGAATTCTGCCCTCATGAGTTTGTGGTATAGTTAGGGAGATAAAGCATGCATATAAACACAAGGCAGAAAGTAGTACTTGTCATAAGAGAAATGTACACAAATCACTGCAAAAGTTTATAGGAAGAAGAAATAAGAAAGAACTTCAGGGAGAAGGATGCAACCAACCTAGGTCTTGGAGAGACAAAGATTTTGGGGGTAAGGAGCATTCTTGCTTTTTCTGAGGCAGAAGCAGCATAAGCTAAGGCTCAAAGAAGGAAAATGTGGGATGCATGTGGCTGAGTTTCTGTTTGTGGCACAGGGTGAGTGAATGGGAGTGGTGAGAGACTGTTGTGAGGCTGCATGATGGGGTCCACAGATGCCAATTTGTAAGGAAAAAAGTGACATATTATTCAAAATTTTAGATGTATGCTTTAGAAAGTAGAATGCACTAAGTTTGGCTACAGATAAGGGAAACTGGGGCACCATCTAGGAGCTACTGCAGTAGTCCAGATGAAAGGTACCAAAGGCCTAGCTTAGCTGAGCTAGGACAGGTTCTTCATCACACATGGTGTATGCTGATGTCATTCTGGACCATCCACCCACTCTTCTTGGGTCCAAGTCAGTAGACCGAAAAAAAGTTGCCTTTTGGGTCATTTCCAGTTTCTTCTTTCCTCAAAGCTATAAATCCCAAAACTAGATCTGCTGGTTCTATTTCTTTTTAAAGAGTTCATATCAATGCTAAAGACTTGGTAGGGGTGAGAGAGAAGTATGGAATAGGTAATAATGACCAAATTCATTATTGTTTCAAAATTTAGTTAGAACCTCTTGAGGCTTCTGTTTTCCAACCCTTTTGTCAAAACCTACATCTTATTTTTAAAAGAATATTGATATTCCTCAAATAAAACATCTTAGATTTTGTTCACTTGGAGATAAGAACAAAAACAGATTTACCTTTCACACTATGTAATCTGATGTTTCATCTAGCTACCTCAATCATAGCATAGTACTACATACTGTAAAAGCAAATGGTCCTCAGCATCAAAGATGTCTGTTGCCTACTATAGGTTTACTCTTTAGGCACAAGAGGCTATTGGGATCAATATCTGGGCTTAGCTAAGACAGGATAGGAAGATCAGCTTTTTTATTTTATTTTATTTTATTTATTTATTTTTTTGAGATGGAGTTTCACTCTTATTGCCCAGGCTGGAGTGCAATAGCGTGATCTTGGCTCACCGCAACCTTGCCTCCCGGGTTCAAATGATTCTCCTGCCTCAGCCTCCTGAGCAGCTGGGATTACAGGCATGAGCCACCATGCCAGGCTAATTTTGTATTTTTAGTAGAGACAGGGTTTCTCCATGTTGGCCAGGCTGGTCTCGAACTCCCGATCTCAGGTGATCCGCCCCCCTTGGCCTCCCAAAGTGCTGGGATTACAGACGTGAGCCATTGCGCCAGGCTGAAAATCAGCATTTTGATGTGACAGTTCTATACCAGAATCCTTATAGTACCAATCTATCAGAACAGACCACAGGATCCATCACTGGAACAGGAGAAGCTAGACATTTTCTTTAAAGGGCCAGATAACAAGTGTTTTCAATTTTTCTGGCCATACAATTTCTGTTGCAACTACTCAATTCTGGTGTTGTAACACAAAGTCAGCCATAAACAACATGAAAAAAAAAAATGTGGCTGTGTTTCTTCAAAAGTTTATTTACAAAAACAGGCTACAGGCTGGATTTGGCCCATGTGCTGCAATTTGCCAATCCTTGAATTTTAACAACTAAGATTTATTTCTCTCAACCTACATGTCTATTATAGGTTGACTGGATACACCATATCTCTTCACTCACTCAAAGACCCAAACTGATGGAGAAGTAAACATCCCTACCAGTCACAGTGGCAGAAGGAAAGAAAGCTTTGAAGTGTCTTCAACTGGAAATCAAATTCTCCATCCTAGAAGAGACGATCATTATTTCCTTAATGATTAATTATTTACAACTTGTGGACCCGGAGTCATTATATGACCTACCCCAATCACCAGGGACTTTGTAGTATAATTTTACAACATCTGGAATGCAGACAGCCTAATATATTGGCAAAGAGAATCAGTAACTACTTGATCAAGCTTAAATTAAAGGTTGTTTTAGGAAAAGTTTTCTTTCATTCAAACAAGTTTCATGTGTATAGTACTGACAAATTGTAGCTCATCAAGGTAAGCTTATAGACATTTCAACTGATCTAATAATCATTCTAGATAGATATGGTTGAAAGACTCATGATCTCTCAAAGGAGTTATTCTTCTGTGAGAAATTCATTTGGCATATTTTACTTTATATAATACATTAAGAAAGGGAAATTGATAGAAGAGAAAACAAGTGATTGAATGAAAAAACTGATGGTCAGAGTGACAGATTTCCATTATGTTACAGGTATAAAATAGCTTAGATATGCCTATACACAATTTAATTATCAATCTGTATTATGCTTAATTATAATTTTAAAAATTATATATTTCCCTATAATCTAAACTTCAGATCCAAGATGATACCTTCTAATATCTATCAACCAGATTTTTTCTTTCTTAATATATTTTGAAAAAAATAATTATCAGATTTAGTCTAAGAATTCTAAGATTATTTTAATATAAGCATAGACACTAGGGGTCATATATTAATTTTTAAGAGAATGAGAGACATTTCTGAAAAAGCCATTTATTTTTTAATTGATGAGATTAAGTTGAAAATATTTTCCATCTCTATTATTGTCTATTTACTGACATCAATATAATGAAATCTATAAATTAGTACAGTTGAGCCTCAAACAACATGGAGGCCAGGGGTACCAACACCCCATGCAGTCAAAAATCCTCATATAACCTTTTACTCCTCTAAAATTTAGTAACAGCCTACTCTTGACCAGAAGCCTTACCAATAATATAAACAGTCAATTAACTCATATTTTTAGTGTTTTATGTATTACATACTGTATTCTTACAATAACATAAGCTAGAGAAAAGAAAATTATATTAAGAAAATCATAAGAAGGAGAAAATATGTTTACTATTTATTCAGTGGAAGTGGATCATCATAAAGATCTTCATCCTCATCTTCCTCTTTAGCAAGCTGAGGAGGAGGACAAGAGGTTCATCTTGTTAATTTAGGAATGGAGAGACAGAAGAAAATCTGCACATAAGTGAACTCATGCAGTTCAAACCCATGTTCAAGGATCGACTGTAGTTATAAGAAGGACTCTCCTAGTTACATACTCTAAGAACAAAAGTGATAAAATTCCAAAGAAATGATGCACATATAAATAGATTCATAGACTCATAAGAGCTGAAAGAGACCTTAGAAGGAATCAATACAACTACTACATCACTCAGTTCTCAAAGAGAAAAACAGATGACCTCGAGGATTATGTATCAATGCCTGAAGGATAGAGGCTGGTTTACTTTGAAAGTTACATTGATATTACAACATAATTTTAAATGTATAAAAATATTTTTGTTTTAAAATGAAAATCAAAGAAAGTAAATTTACTCTGATAAGATACAAAGATAAGAAAGTGACGAAGAATTTGGTGTATACCAACAATTAATTCAGTGTATGACATTACATCACCCGAGACTCATTCACACTGGCATGGTACAATTACGGATATTATTTACATTGCATTTATAAAATAAGAGTTTCACATTTTAAGATGAAAATATAAAAATGAAAGCAGATTTTTTTTCTTACTGCAATGCAATATCCAAAAAGGAATTTTAAGTTCTCCAACACTTATTTCAGTAACATCCTCCATTTCACTGAATTAAAGCAATTTTATCTCTGGATTGTATAAATTAGAGAGTTTCCAATTTCACCCTCAGGCACCATTTCAATTGGAGAATGATAGACCACTAAAGTAGATGGATAAAAGTAAACAAAAATTTAGGTTATAGGAAACAGGCTTGACTAGATATCTGGAATAGCCTCACTTCTCAACAACTGCCATTAACCTTGTTCAAAATATGAAATTACTACAATCAATTCTAAGAGATTTCCCCATGTTCCTCTTCACACACTTACACACACACACACACACACAAACACACACACACCCCCACATCTTTTTAGACATCTTTTTTGGGTGACAACCCAAAAAAGAAAATTTGGCCAGGTTTTCATCAAGTTAGAATGTGCATATTCTATAAAGGATCTCATTCATGTGCTGTCTGTCTAAATGATGAGAGTGGCGGCCTGTCTAGGGCAGCTGCTGCCATGATGCTAGCTGCAGTGGGGGAGGTTTGGCTGGGGTTGCCCACTCCAAAGAGCTGGTGGGAGCCAGGAACAGGTGGAAGCCCTACACCCTTCTGAGTTTTCAGGGCAGGAGTCTTGCACTTCCCCAACGCGGGTGCAGCCACCCAGCTGCAGCTGCAGACCCAGGCATCCCTGTGCTCTTGGGAGCCAGGAGCAGAAAGGAGCCCCACCCTCCCAGGTGCAACTGCAGCCGCCCAGCTGCAGCTGCAGACCCAGGCATCTCTGCACTGTCAGAGGCCTGGGAAGGCCCTACCAAGCCCCTGCAGGCTTGGAGTTGCCTACTCCCACTGCCTGTCCTCTCCCAGTTCCAATCTCAGAGCAGAGTTGAGGCTGAGCCCAGGCATTGTCGCAACCTGGCTGGGTGTGCACATGCTCAGAGCAATGCTGACATGCCAGCCCCCTGCCACCTTGGGCCCCTCTGGACTTTGGGCACCAACCAGCACAAGATGGAGGCCAAGGGGGGTGCTGAGGGCAGCTCGGTGCTGGCCGGCAGGCACCCCTCAGCATGAACAGTATGGGAACCATGAACAGTGGCAGGAGGCAGACGGGCTTCTGAGTGGAAAGGGATGGGTCTCTCGTGAAGCCCCACCTTCAGACTCAGGGAAAACCTGAAGCCTGGGGGCAAGGGTGCCAGGCCCATGGACTGGAGTGGAAACTTGTGATGCTTTTCCAGGCTTGCCCATAGCTGCCCATGGATGAATCAGCATGTACTTCCTCCCCTCTGAAGCCCATTAAAAACCTAGGACTCAGCCAGACTTGAGAAGACACTGGGACAACCAGCTGTGGAGAGGAGCTACCCACTCCAGGGTCTCCTCTCTGCTGAGAGCTGAACACTCATCAGGACACCCTGGCTGTGGAGAGGAGCTACCACTGCAAGTCTCCTCTAAGCTGTTCTGTTGGCCAATAAAGCTCCTCTTCGTCTTGCTCACCCTCAACTTGTTCATTTACCTCATCCTTCCTGGACACAGTTCAGGAACTTGGACCTGCCAAATGGCAGGGCTAAAAGAAATGTAACACAAACAGGGCTGAAACATGCCACTTGCTCACCAAATTGCAGTCGACAAGAAGGAAAGATAAAAGGAGAGAAGAGCTGAGGCCCTTCAAGGAGCCCAGACCTAGGAGCTTCCTGAACCAAGGCTGTGACACCCTCTTTGAGGCACAGTGGTGTCTGGCATCTCCGAGCTTCCGGATGCCACTGCATTTCCCAGTGCCAGCCATGGGAGCTTCTTGCAGGATGCCTGGTTCAGCCACAGATTCACAGGAAGCTGGCACCTGTGCCAGGGCCTGGAGCCACCCACCCAGCCACAACCAGTGTTCCTGGCTGTGCACAGTGGCCAGACCCCACACAACCATAACCCTGATGGCTCAAAGCCTAGGCCAGATGAAAGGACCAAGACCCTAGCATCTGAACCCATGTGGCACACCATTCTCCCAAGGAACAGGGGGACCTGTATAACAGGGCAGCTGCTAAAGCTGGCTGGTTGCCTCACCCACACACACACCCACTACACAGCTGGCCAGTGCACCAAGCATACATGTGTTCGTACTCGACCCAACAGTCAGTCCTTGAAGCAACCTTGTTTTTGTGGAAAGACCACCACAGGGCTGCTCAGCCAGCCACACTCATGCACACCTGTGTCCAGCCAATGGCCATCTCAACAGGAACCATCACTTCCCCAGAGAGCCCTCCAGACATCCTATCAACCTCCATGCCCACATGTGTGCAGCTTGACAATCAGTTGAGCACCTCTGCCTTTAGCAAAACTGTGCCACTGCCATTACAAACTCTCACAGGCTAGGCCACTAAAGCAATCACAGATATTGTTGACAAGGATTGCAACTGAAGAAACTGCATGGAGACCATGCTACTGAGTCTACTCAGAACCGAAGTTAATGCACCCTACCCAACAGACACCTATCTACAGGAAAAAGTCTCTCCTTACAAAGGTACATCATAAAATTTGAAAAGACAACTATCCCACTAGATGCACAGATATCAATGTAGGGACACAAGAAACATGAAAAAGCAAGGAAATGTGATATCCCCAAAAGAATGTAATCAGTCTTCAATGACAGATCACAAAGAAAACGACTTTTACAGAATGCCTAAAAAGAAAATCTAAATAATGATCTTAAGGAAACTGAGCAAGATACAGCAGAAAACAAACAATTCAATAACATTACAAAACAATTTATGATCTGGGTGAGAAATTCAAAAAATAGATAGATATCACAAAAAAGAACCAAAGTGAAATGTTGAAGGTGAAGAACTCAATGAATGAAATAAATGATATAATTGAGAGTTTCAATAGCAGGCTAGAGCAAGCAGAATAAGTAATTTCTGAACTTGAAGACAGGTCTGTTGAAATAACTCAGTCTGAGAAAAAAATTAAGAATACAAAAATGAGCAAAGCCTTTGAGTCTTATAGAACATCGTTAAACAAAGAAATATTCACATTATAGGAATACCAGTGGGAAAAGATATGGAGAAAAGCAAAGAAAATCTATTTAACAAAAAATAGCTGAAAATTTGCCAAGTAATTGAGAGAGATATGAACATCTAGATTCAGGAAGCCCAAAGGTTCCCAATTATATTCCACCCAAAAAGATCCTCTGCCAGGCACATTATAATTAAATCATCAAACATCAAAGACAAGGAGAGAATTCTAAAAGTGACAAAAGAAAAGTATCAAGTCACATATAATGAAATGGCCATTAGACTATCAGCAGATTTCTCAGCAGAAATCTTTCAGGCCAGGAGAGAATGGGATAATACATTCAAAGTTCTGAAGGAAAAAAAATACTCAGCAAAGAATACTATATCCACAAAGCTATCCTTAAGAAATGAAGGGGAAATAAGGAACTTCCAAGACAGGCAAACACTGAGGGAATTCATCACCATTAGGCTGGACTTACAAGAAATACTTAAGGGAATGCTACGACTGGAAACAAAAGAACAATAATTACTGTCATGAAAACATGTGAAAGTATAAAAATCACTAATAGAAGTAAATTCATAAATCAAACTCATAATACCCCAGTAATGCAATGGTGCTATGTAAGTCTCCTAATCACCTAGCATGAAGGTTTAAAGTCAAAATGGTCAAAAATAATAACAGCTACAATTAATGGCTCAGGAACATATAATAGATTAAAAAAATAAATTAAGGCAACACAAATATAAATTGTTGGGAGGAGGGGGGAGTCTAGAATATTTTTATGAGACCAAAGGCGATTTGCTTTCAGGTTTAAACAATCCGTTATTAACTATAAAACTCTTTATGTTAGCCCCATGATAATGACAAAGAAAGAAAGTATAGCAAATGGACAAATAAGAAAGTAGGGGGAAAAAAAAGCTTAGCACCACAGAAAACCACCAAACCACAGAGGTAAAAAAACAAAAATGCATCTTTGAATAAATAATTTTAAGACTGAGATGAAGAGAAAAAAGAAAATAAAAACAAAACAAAACAAGAAAAAAAGAAATAAGCAAGAGATTTACAAAACAACCAGAAAACAATTAAGAGAACTGTAGGAGTAAGTCCTTATCCATCAGTAATAATCTTCAATATAAATGGATTAAATTCTCTGACTAAAACATATAGAGTGGCTGAATTGAGTAAAGAAACAAGATTCAACTCTATGCTGCCTACATGAGACTCGCCTCACAGTTAAAGACAAATATAGACTGAAAGTGGAGGGATGGCACATAACATTCCATGAAAATGGAAACCAAAGCAGCAAGAGTAGACATTCTTATACCAGATAAGATAGATTTTAAGTCAAAAACTGTAAAAAGAGACAAAGAAGATTACAATATAATAATAAAGGGCTCAATTGAACAAGAAGATATAACAATTATAAATATAAATACATCCAACACTGGAGCCCCCACATATGTAAAGCAAATATTACTAGATCTAAAAGGAGAGATAAACTGCAATGCAATAATAGTAGGGAACTTCAATACACTGCTATGTAATCAACACACCATTGATCATCTAGACAAAAAAAATCAACAAAGTAACATCAGACTTAAACTGCAACAGAGACGAAATGGACCAAACAGATATTTACAAAACATTTCATAAAACAGCTGCAGAATATACATTTGTCTCAATGGCACATGAAACATCTCCAGAACAGATCACATGTTAGGCCACAAAACAAGTTGTAACCAGCTATATTACTAAAATAGCATGGTCCTGGCATAAAAACAGACTCACAGACCAATGAAACAGAGTAGAGAGCCCATAAATAAATTCATGCACCCACAGTCACGTGATTTTCGACTATGTTGCCAAGAATACACATTGTAGAAAAGAAAATCTTGTCAATAAATGGTGCTAAGCAAATTGGATATTCACATGCAGAAGAGTGAGATTAGATCCTACCTTTCACAAAAATTAACTCAAAATGGATTAAAAACAAAAATGTAAAGCCTGAAACTACTAGAAGAAAACAAAGAGGAAATGCTTCATGACATTGGGCTCTGCAAAGATTTTTAAAATAAGAACTCAAAAGCGCAGACAAGTAAAAATAGACAAATGAAATTACATCAAACTAAAAAGCTTTTCCACAGCACAGGAAACTGTTAACAAAATGAAGAGACAACCTACAGAATAGGAGAAAATATTTTTAAACTATACATCTGACAAGGGGTTAATATCCAGAATATAAAAACAACTTAAACAACTCAACAATAAAAAACAAAATAACGCAATTTTTCTTTTTTTTCCTGAGACGGAGTCTTGCTCTGTCACCCAGGCTGGAATGCAGTGGCGCGATCTCAGCTCACCACAACCTCTACCTCCTGGGTTCAAGCAATTCTCCTGCCTCAGCCTCCCGAGTAGGTAGGATTACAGGCGCCTGCCACCACACCTGGCTAATTTTTGTATTTTTAGTAGAGACGTGGTTACACCATGTTTGCCAGGCTGGTCTCAAACTCCTGACCTTGTGACTTGCCCACCTCAGCTTCCCAAAGTGCTGGAACTACAGATGTGAGCCACCGCGCCCAGCCAACCCAAGTTTTTAAATGGGCAAAGGACCTTAGTAACTACTTCTCAAAAGAGAATATAAAAACGGCTGACAGGTATATGAAAAAAAATGCTCAACACCACTAATAATCATCAGGTAAATGCAAACCAAACTCACAATGATATATACCACCTTCCTCTAGTTAGAATGACTGTCACCAAAAAGAGAAAAGAAAACAAGTGTTAGCTGGGATGTGGAGAAAAGGGAAAAGGAAAACCTACATACTGTTGGTGGGATTGAAAACTACTACTACACTATGAAGGTTCCTCAAAATATTAAACATAGAACTACCATATGATCCAGTGATCCCATTATTGGATATATATCAAAACAGAATGAAATAACTATGTCCAAGACAATCTGTACTCCCGTTTATTGTAGCACTATTCACAACAGCCAAAATACAGAATCAACCTAAGCGTCCAACAACAGATAAATGAATAAAGAAAATGTAGTATGCATAAACAATGGAATATTATTCAACCTTTAAAAAGAAGGAAATGCTGTCATTTGTGACAATGTGAATGAATCTAGACATCATGTTAAGTGAAATAAGCCAATCACAGATAGACAAATACCATATGATCTCACTCCTATGTGGGATCTTTTTTACTTAAAGTTGATATCAAAGAGAGAAGAACAGTAGTTACCAAAGAAAATCCCAGGATTGGATGGCCTCACTGCTGAATTCCATCAAATATTTAAAGAACTAATACCAATTCTCAAACTCTTCCAGAAAATTGAAGAGGAAAAAATATTTCCAAACTCATTTTATGAGGCCAGCATTACCCTGGTTTCAAAACCAGACAAAGACACAACAACAACAACAACAAATACTACAGGTCATTATCTCTGAAAAACATAGATGCAAAAATTCTCAACAAGATATTAGCAAGCCAAATCCAACAGCACATTGAAAAGATAACACACCATAATCAGGTAGGATTTATCCCAGGAATGCAAGGGTGATTCAACATATGCAAATCAATAAACATGACAACAACAGAATGAAGGACAAAACCATATGATCATCTCAATAGACACAGAAAAAGCATTTGGTAAAATTAAACATCCCTTCATGATAAAAACTCCCAACAAACTTAGACACTGAAGGAACATACTTCAATGGGTAAGGAATGAGAGGAAGATGGAGAAGCTAGCCAATGGGTATAAAGTTACAATTAGATAGAATGAATAAATACCGGTATTCTACTGCACAGTAGGTAACTATGGCTAACAGCAAAATATTGTATATTACAAAATAGCTAGAAGACAGGCTTTTGAATATTCTCACCACAAAGAAATAATTAATGTATGACATGATGGATTTATTATCAAACTACCCTGATTGGATCATTATATAACATAGATATATATCAAAACATTAAATTGGGGGGCTGGCAAGATGGCCGAATAGGAACAGCTCCGGTCTGCAGCTCTCAGTGAGATCAATGCAGAAAGCGGGTGATTTCTGCATTTCCAACTGAGGTACCCATCTCGTCTCATTGGGACGGGTTAGACAGTGGGAGCAGACCATGGAGGGTGAGCTGAAGCAGGGTGGGGCATTGCCTCAGCCGGGAAGCACAGAGGGTTGGGGAACTCCCTCCACTAGCCAAGGGAAGCCTTGAGAGACTGTGCTGTGAGGAATGGTGCACTCCAGCCCAGATATTATGATTTTCCCATGGCCTTCGCAACCCACAGACCAGGAGATTCCCTCAGGTGCCTACGCCACCAGGACCGTGGGTTTCAAGCACAAAACTGGGCAGCTGTTTAGGCAGACACTGAGCTAGCTGCAGGAGTTTTTTTGTTGTTTTTTTTTTCATACCCCAGTGGCAATTGGAACACCAGTGAGACAGAACTGTTCACTTCCCTGGAAAGGGAACTGAAGCCAGGGAGACAAGTGGTCTAGCTCAGCAGATCCCACCGCCACGGAGCCCAGCAAGCTAAGATCCACTGGTTTGAAATTCTCACTGCCAGCACAGCAGGCTGAAGTCGACTTTGGATGCTCAAGCTTGGTGGGGTGAGGGGCATCCACCCTTATTGAAGCTTGAGTAGGTGGTTTTCCCCTCACATTGTAAACAAAGCCGCCGGTAAGTTAAAACTGGGCAGAGGCCACTGCAGCTCAGCAAAGCCACGGTGGCCAGATTGCCTCCCTAGATTCCTCCTCTCTGGGCAGGACATATCTGAAAGAAAGGCAGCAGCTCCAGTCAGGGGCTTATAGATAAAACTCCCATTTCCATGGGACAGAGCACCTGGGGGAAGGGGAGGCTGTGGGTACAGCTTCAGCCAACTTAAACATTCCTGCCTACCAGCTCTGAAGAGAGCAGCGGACTGCCCAACACAGTGCTTGAGCTCTGCTAAGGAACAGACTGCCTGCTCAAGTGGGTCACTGACCCCCATGCCTCCTGACTGGGAGATATCACCCAACAGGGGTTGACAGACACCACATACAGGAGGGCTCCAGCTGGCATCTGGTGGGTGCCCCTCTGGGACGAAACTTCCAGAAGAAGGAACAGGCCACAGTCTTTGCTGTTCTGCAGACTCCGCTGGTGATACCCAGGCAAACAGGGTCTGGAGTGGACCTCCAGCAAACTCTAACAGACCTGCAGCAGAGGGGCCTGACTGGTAAAAGGAAAACTAACAAAAAGAAAGAAATAGTATCAACATCAACAAAAAGGATGTCCACACAGAAAGCCCACCCTAAGGTCACCAGCATCAAAGACCAAAGGTAGATAAATCCACAAAGATGAGGAAAAACCAGCACAAAACGGCTGAAAATTCCAAAAACCAGAATGAGCATGTTCTAACCCAATACAAGGAAGCTAAGAACATTGAAAAAAAGGTTAGACAAATTGCTAACTAGAATAACCAGTTTAGAAAAGAACATATATGGCCTGATGGAGCTGAAAAACACAGCATGGGAACTTTGTGAAGCATATACAAGGATCAATAGCTGAATCAATCAAGTTGAAGAAAGGATATGAGACATTGAAGATCAACTTAATGAAATAAAGTGTGAAAACAACATTACAGAAAAAAAGAATGAAAAGGAACAGACAAAGCCTCCAAGAAATATGGGACTATGTGAAAAGACCAAACCTACGTTTGATTGGTATACTTGAAATTGACAAGGAGAATGGAACAAAGTTGGAAAACACTCTTCAGGACATTATCCAGGAAAACTTCCCCAACCTAGCAAGACAGGCCAACACTCAAATTCAGGAAATACAGAGAACACCACAAAGATACTCCTCGAGAAGAGCAACCCCTAAACACATGATCGTCAGATACACCAAGATTGAAATGAAGGCAGCCTGAGAGAAAGGTGGGGTTATCCACAAAGGGAAGCCCATCAGACTAACAGCAGATCTCTCTGCAGAAACCCTACCAGGCAGAAGAGATTGGGGGCAAATATTCAACATTCTAAAAGGAAATAATTTTCAACCCAGAATTTCATATCTGGCCAAATGGAGCTTCATAAGCAAAGGAGAAATAAAGTACTTTATGGACAAGCAAATGTTGAGAGATTTTGTCACAACCAGGCCTGCCTTACAAGAGCTCCTGAAGGAAGCACTAAATATGTAAAAACAAAACAACAACAACAACAACAACAAAACAGTACCAGCCACTGCAAAAACATACCAAATTGTAAAGGCCGTCAACACCATGAAGAAACTGCATCAACTAACGGGCAAAATAAGCAGCTAGCATCATAATGACAGGATCAAATTCACACATAAGAATATTAACCTTAAATGTAAACGGGCTAAATGCCACAAATAAAAGACCCAGACTGGCAAGCTGAATAAAGATTCAAGACCCATAGGTGTGCTGTATTCAGGAGACCCATCTCATGTGCAAAGACACAAATAGGCTCAAAATAAAGGGATGGAGGAATACTTACCAAGCAAATGGAAAGCAAAAAAAAAGCAGGGGTTGCAATCCTAATCTCTGATAAAACAGACTTTAAACCAACAAAGATCAAAAAAGACAAAGAAGGGCATTATATAATGGTAAAGGGATCAATGCAACAAGAAGAGTTAACTATCCTAAACATATATGCACCCAATACAGGAGCACCCAGATTCATAAAGCAAGTTCTTAGAGATCTACGAAGAGACTTAGACTCCCACACAATAATAGTGAGAGATTTAACACCCCAATGTCAATATTAGATCAATGAGACAGAAAAATAACAAGGATATTCAGGACTTGAACTCAGCTCTGGACCAAGTGGACCTAATAGACATCTACAGAACTCTCCACCCCAAATCAACAGAATATATATTCTTCTCAGCACCACGTGACACTTATTCTAAAATTGACCACATAATTGGAAGTAAAACACTCCTCAGCAAATGCAGAATGGAAATCATAACAAACAGTCTCTCAGACCACAGCACAATCAAATTAGAACTCAAGATTAAGAAACTCACTCAAAACTGCACAACTACATGGAAACTGAACAATCTGCTCCTGGATGACTACTGGGTGTTTGCAGATGACATGATTGTATATTTAGAAAACCCCATTGTTTCAGCCCAAAATCTCCTTAAGCTGATAAGCAACTTCAGCAAAGTCTTAGGATACAAAATCAATGTGCAAAAATCACAAGCCTTCCTATATACCAATAATAGAGAGTCAAATCGTAAGTGAACTCCCATTCACAATTGCTACAAAGAGAATAAAATACCTAGGAATACAACTTACAAGGGATATGAAGGACCTCTTCAAGGAGAACTACAAACCACTGCTTAAGGAAATAAGAGCAGACACAAACATTGGATGCTCAAGGAAAAACATTCCATGTTCATGGATAGGAAGAATCAATATCGTGAAAATGGCCATACTGCCCAAAGTAATTTACAGATTCAATGCTATCTCCATCAAGCTATCATTGACTTTCTTCATAGAATTAGAAAAACCTACTTTAAAGTTCATATGGAACCAAAAAAGAGACCATATAGCCAAGACAATCCTAAGCAAAAAGAACAAAGCTGGAGGCATCACGCTACCTGACCTCAAACTATACTACAAGGCTACAGTAACCAAAGCAGCATTGTACTGGTACCAAAACAGATATACAGACCAATGGAACAGAACAGATGCCTCAGAAATAACGCCACACATCTACAACCATCTGATCTTTGACAAGCCTGACAAAAAACAAGCAATGGGGAAAGGATTCCCTATTTAATAAATGGTATTGGGAAAACTGGCTAGCCATATGCAGAAAACTGAAACTGGACCGCTTCTTTACACCTTATACAAAAATTAACTCAAGATGGATTAAAGACTTAAACGTAAGACCTAACACCATGAAAACCCTAGAAGAAAACCTAGGCAATACCATTCAGGATATAGGCATGGGCAAAGACTTCATGACTAAAACACCAAAAGCAATGACAACCAAAGTCAAAATTGACAAATGGGATCTAATTAAACTAAAGAGCTTCTGCACAGCAAAAGAAATTATCATCAGAGTGAACAGGCAACCCACAGAATGGAAGAAAAGTTTTCTAATCTATCCATCTGACAAAGGGCTAATATCCAGAAACAAATTTACAAGAAAAAAAACAACCCTATCAAAAAGTGGAAAAAGGATATGAACACACTTCCCAAAAGAAGACATTTATGCAGCCAACAAACATATGGAAAAAGCTCATTATCACTGGTCATTAGAGAAATACAAATCAAAACCACAATGAGATACCATCTCACACCAGTTAGAATGGTGATCATTAAAAAGTCAGGAAACAACAGATGCTAGAGAGGATGTGGAGAAATAGGAATGCTTTTACACTGCTGGTGGGAGTGTAAATTAGTTCAACCATTGTGGAAGACAGATCCTCAAGGATCTAGAACCAGAAATACCATTTGGCCCAGCAATCCCATTACTGGGTATATACCCAAAGGTTTATAAATAATTCTACTATAGAGACACATGCACACATATGTTTATTGTGGCACTATTCACAATAGCAAAGACTGGGAACCAACCCAAAAGCCCATCAATGATAGACTGGATAAAGAAAATGTGGCACATATACACTATGGAATACTATGCAGCCATAAAAAAGGGTGAGTTCATGTCCTTTGCAGGGACATGGATAAAGCTGGAAACCATCATTCTCAGCAAACTAACACAAGAAGAGAAAATCAAACACTGCGTGTTCTCACTCATAAGTGGGAGTTGAACAATGAGAACACAGGGACACAGGGAGGAGAACATCACACACAGGGGCCTGTTGGGGGTTGGGAGGCTAAGGGAGGGACAGCATTAGGAGAAATACCTAATGTAGATGACGGGTTGATGGGTGTAGCAAACCACGATGGCACGTGTATAGCTATGTAACAAACCTGCACTTTCTGCACCTATAGCCCAGAACTTAAAATATAATAAAAAAGAAAATAAATAAATAAAATAAAAATAAGAAAATAAAATAAAGATTAGCAGAAAAAAGGAAAGACATATAGTTAGAGTCAGTGGAGAAATACTCCCATTTTTTCAATTCTCTGCATCATTCACCACCAACTTTAGCTTCCAAAACTCTGCTCAGCAACCTGCAAGAAGGTTTTAGACTCACTGTCAGGTGGTCAATTGTGTGGAAAATAAAATAAAACAATATGTCAAAACCTGGTTTTCTGCCTTGCTTTAAGATTTGGATGCCAATCACAAAGTTATATCCCACACCAAGTTTTGTTTGTTGTCAAAGGTAAAGGTGCTTTGCTAGCATTACATACAGACTGAAGGCTAGAGTTGCCATGCAAAAGACCAGCTGCTTTTAAAATGGATCACCTAGGAACAGCTTAGAACTTTAAGTAGATAATCTGATCCTGTCAATACACTGAACCTGAAGCTTCAAGGGACAACCATCAGCATCACTGGTCATTTAAATAAGTATATCAAACATGTTAAGCCAAAATACAACTATGAATATAGCAAATTGGTGCTAATATGCCCTTCATTTTCTCGTTTAGATAATGCTCTCAAATACCTCCTCACTGGTTTCCCTGCTTCCACTCCTCCATCCATTCTCCCCAGAAGAGCCAGGGAGACCTTCCTGAAACATACATCAGCTCACTTAACCCCTTTGTTTAGGTGCTCAAAGGCTTTCCACTACACTTACAATAAAATCCAAACTCCTCAAGCTGGCCTACTGGCTTCATGTGACCTGGCCCTCTCTTGTTTCTCAGAGTTCAGCCCTCTCCACTCTCTCCAACACTCACTTAGCCATACTCTCCTTGTTCCTCCACAAACTCTCCTTACTCATTTTATCTGGGGTCTTTTGCACTAGCTGTTCCTTATTCCCCCAGCTTGACTAGACTATCTTTATCTTTCAGGTTTTAGCTGAATTGCTACTTCCTCGCAGAGGGCCTCCTTGAGCAGCCACTCACCCACTGTATAACTTAACTGTACTGCATCCAGTTTGTGTCCCACCACAGACCCATGAGGCCTACCTACCTCTGTGCCTTGCCACCTTGGGTCCTCAGCCATAGCCTTGCTTTCTTTCCAGAACAGCCTCAGTGCCACTCATACTAGTTCCTCCAGTCATAAAGCCCTGACCATGGGCACCACTGCCGCCCTCAGAGGCCAAAAAGCCCCACAGACAGTGCCAATTAACAAGCAATGGCCACCATGCCTGCCTACTGGGTTGAATCTGGCTTCACCAGAAGCTGCTGGCAGGGACTTGCAGGGCAGTTAGAGTCCTATGGAAGACTGGAGATGGCAAAGAAGCAGCAGATCAATTTCCAGCCTTATTACCCCACCCTTCCATGCCATTCTGAGATGCAGCAGCTTCATACAGCTTCTCTGGAAACATCCTTCAAGACTAGCATCCAATTATATCTGTTGCAAATCTGTGGCCAGTTTGGTAATGCATCCCTTTGAATTGGCTTTCCCTCCTCTGCCTCTCCCATTTTTCCCTCACTCTTGCTTCCCTGTTATGGTGCCCTCAGTAAAGCATTATCATGCACGATTTTATCTCAGGGTCTGTTTTCTAGAGAGCCCAGCGTAAAACAGTGACACTATTTTCATTCACTTCCTGATATTTTCTTTAACTCCAGCCTCACTGGCCCCTAAACCCCCACTTCAACATACATATCCAGAATGTAAAAATTTGGAACTTGTTTGAGAACACTTTATTTGTCTTGTTCACTAGGGCTGTGAACAGTGCCTGACACATAGTAGGTACTTAGTAAATATTTGTTGAATGAATAAGACCACAACAGCACAGTATCTAATGCCATTGGTGCATGCCAATTTGACTGCAAAGGTAACTGGAGATTTAATGGAACTAACTCTATCTTGTTGACTGCTATGTTGCCAAGGCCTAGCATAATACCTAGCATACAGCTGCTCTCAAAAAAATAATGTTTGACTGATTAATAAATTGGAAAGCACTGGCAAGATCAATGACAGGAAATTATTGGCAAGAACAAGAAGTCACTAGAAGCTCATAGTCACAACCTCTTCCTGAAAGCAAAACAAACAAACAAACAAAAAAAAACTTAATTGGAACATCATAAAAATGATTCTTTAAGGTTAAAAATATAGACTGACAAGTGTTTGTATGTTAGAAAACCAAAAAGAAATCAAATAAACTATCTGGATTCCTTGACCATAGACTTCACATAGCAGTATAAAATAAAGCTGATGTTTTTTAGCAAATTGAAGTCCAACACTAGTTAGGAAATCAAAGGATCCAGTTACTAACCTTCACAGAGCTGGTTAAAAAAAATCCAACAATATTTGTTTCATTGTTTACACAGCTGAGGATTCATAGTCTAATCACTAATCATTCATCACTAACACAAAGTGATAGGAACCCATCCCTTCGCCAAATAATGGCCCATTTTGTTTTCACCAGCTGTTTCAAGTAAAGAAGGAAGCATTAATAAAGACTGAGTAACCCATTTATAATAATAATACTTGATATTGTTATAATTGCACAGCAATTGCATTTATAACACCTCATCTAATCTTTTTTAATTTTTTTTCCTTTTTGGAGATAGTCTGGCTATATTGAGGAGGAAGGATTCGAACCTCTGAGCTCAAGGGATCCTCCTGCCTCAAATAGCTGGGACTATAAGCCTGCACCACTGTACCCAGTTCTATCACCTCATTTAATCTGATGACAACCCTGTACAGTAGGTATATTCTCAGGAATTTTAAAACGAAGCAGAAATGAAGAGGTTTAACAAGTCATGCCTACAACAACAGAGATAGTAAACGGCTTCCTGCTCTAAGGCCCCCCTTCCTATTCTATTTTGGCACTTCCAGGCATCAATCAATTGAATAGAAGCCCATTATCCATTGCAGCATTAAGACTATAAAATTCATTCATTCATTCAAAAAAATGAATTTCTTTAGTGCATCTACGCATCAGGAACTAGAGATGCCACAGATAACAAGACAAAGCCTCTGCTCTCGTGGAGCTTAAATTATAGAACAGAAAGGCAGACAACAAGGGCGTACGTAAACAACTTACCATAGAATATATAATTCTGAGATGATGATGTAATTGTTCCAAAGGCCAAATATGACATTTTCAGTAGAACCATGTCAAATGAGCTGTATTATCATATAGCCCAAACACTCTGACATTGGGTGCCATGTATACCAAACAAACAGGTACTTACTGACAGATATCAGATACACAAACACTGGGCTGGTTCTGCCTTAGAGCAGTGCTTCCCAAAGGCTGGACTACAATGTATTTATAGTTCATGATAAATTTTTCACCATCCAAGGCTAAATGAGAAAGAATTTTCACCATTCAAGGCAAGATGAGTGCTATGGTCTGAAAATGTGTGTGTCCCTGCAAAATTCATATGTTGAAACCTAAATCCTCAATGCAATAGTATTATGAAGTGAGGCCTTTGGAAGGTGATTGTGTCATGAGGGCTTTACCCTCATGAATGGGGTCAGTACCCTTTTATGAGAGACCTAAAGCCGCTTGTTCATCCCCTCCACCATGTGAGGATGCAGCCAAGAAGGTGCCATCTTTGGAGCAGAGAGCAAGCCCTCATCAGACACCGAATTTGTTGGTGCCTTCATCTGGTACTTCTCAGCCACCAAAACTATAAGTAATAAATTTTCGTTGTTTATAAATTACTCAGTCTAAGGTGTTTTTGTTATAGCGGCGCAAATGTACTAAGACAATGAGAGATAGTATGATTAAGTTCTTCATAATAGTTAATTATCCAAGGCCATGGAAAGGACCCAAATATGAGAATGCTATTACATCACTCCAAAGGCACACGAAATCTAAAATGTGTTAATTTCACACATTGGAAAAGTAGATAATGTCCCCTATAGTCTAACAAATGTAACTTCTGCAACCATACTGCTATTGAACTAAACACTCCAATGTAAAGTTTAAACTACCATCCATCTGTGATCTCTGTTTTTTCATAATACCTTCTTATCTCAGGACTGAAACATCCACTATATTAGTCTTCTATGGCTGCTGTAACATATCATCTCAAAGTTAGTGGCTCAAAACCATGCAAATTAATTATCTGAAAGCTCTGGAGATCAGAAGTTTAAAATGGGTTGGCAGAGTTGTAAACCTTCTGTAGGTTGCAGGGGAGAACCTGTTTCCTTGCCTTTTCCAGCTTCTAGAGGCTGTCAGCTTTCCTTCACTGGTGGCCCCTCATCACTTCAACCTTTGCTTCTGTCATCACATCACTCTCTCTCCCTGTGTTTCCATCATCACATCCCCTTCTCTGACTCTGAAACTCCTGCCTCCCTCTTATAAGGACTCTTGTGATTACACAGGGCCCTCATGGATAATCCAGGATAGCCTCCTCATTTCAAGACCCTTAACTTCATTGCATCTGCAAAGTCCCATCAGCCATATCACTAACATATTCACAGGTTTGAGAAATGAGAACATGAACATCTTTGAAGTGCCATTATTTGGCCTACCACATTTACCAAAGTTGACTGATATAATCAGAGATATTGAAGAGCTCTAGATGTTGGTCTTATTCTCAGACAACTCTATAAATATAGTGACGAGTAATACAAAATGGTTGGAAATATTGAACCACTATTTTAAGGGTGTGTTTCACTGAATCAGTGTAAAGAACATCAGGGTATCACTTATTTAACATGATGAAGATAGCACATACTTTACCTCACGAGTCAGCTAGGAATATAAGAAGAATTCTTATTTGTTAGTTACATGCAAGGTGCCTAACTTATTATATTATCTGATCATCCAAACAACCAAAAGGTTAGTTACATTATCTACATTTATAGATCTGGAAACTGAGGCTGAGCAGATAAATAATTTGTTCAAGGTCACACAATTATAAATAACAGGGCAAAAATTTGAACTCAGATGCAACATTGATAGCAAAAGCAAAGTGGAAGTAATATTTATTCAGGATCATGTTAATCACTGCATATATGTGACTTAGTATCAATACACAGAATAATATTTAAATATTTACCCTAATTCAAGTAGTTCCCTATTAATGGGCATTTAGGTTGTTTCCAAATTGTAATTGCAAACACTGCTATAATGAATGACACTGAACATCTTGCTTCAAATACTTAACACAAATCCTCATTCTGATACACAGTGCCAAATCACTGTCCAAAAAATTTACCCTGATTTACAATCCCACTAACAGTGTGTAGAAATATCTATTTTACTCACACTCTTATCAACTCCAGGTGTGAGCAAACTTTAAAATCTTTATCATATTGTTAGGTAAAAGCTTATGTTGTGTTTTGATTTTCATTTTTAAATTATCTGAGCTCAATTAACATTACTTAATATTTTAATGGCCATTTGTGATTTCTTTTTTTCTATGAACTTACTGCTTATAATCTTAGACCATTTTTCTACTTTCCATCTATTTATTAATTTGAAAGAACTCTACACACAGTCATCCCTTCGTATTCATGGGGATTAGTTCCAGGACCTGGATACCAAAATCTAAGGATTCTCAAGTTCTTTATATCAATGGTGCAGTATTTGCATACAGCCTAGGTACATCCTCCCATATACTTTAAATAATCCCTAGATAACTTATACTTAATTGAATGTAAATGCTATGTAAATAGTTGTTATGCATCAGACACTATTCTAGGAAGTGATTGTTATCAGTTATGTTGTGTTGTTTAGGGAATAATGACCAAATAAAGATCTGTACATGTTCAGTACAAATGTAACCATCCATTTTTTTTCTAACAATTTTTGATCCATGGTTGGCTGAATCCATGGATGTGGAACCCATGGATACAGAAAGCCTACTATGTTCATAAATTAGGCCTTTGTCTATGTGTGGAAAATTTTGTTTCTGGTCTATCATTTGTCTTTCAATTTTTTCCTTTAATAATAACACTTCTACTAGTATTCCCTTTAGCATGATTTATGATTTAGCTTATGCCATACATATAAAACCTTGCAGCAAATATTATCAAGGAAGACAGAAGAGAGTCCTAGAGGTCCACAGACAATATCAAAAGGTATGGAAAAGGTGGTAGAGATGAGCAGTATGAACTCTAAAAGGGAAATTTTGTTGATTGATAATGGTACAAGATTAATGGATAGACTATAGGTGTTAATCAGTTCTCATTAAATCATGAGTGTGGGTGGTAGGGGGTGGGAAATGGATAAAAGAACAAATTCAAATAAAGGTCATGAGAAAGAGTGATGTCCATGGAGGGTTGGGTTTCAACAGAAACAAAGAAGTGAAAAGATAAAGAATGGAGAGGTTGTAGGCTTTGCTCCAGTCTAGTAGGCCTTCTCACGGTATTGAGAATTCACCATATTCATTTCCATCTATCTACTTTTGCTTGGTCATACATTTTCCTTTATCTATCATGCCTCTTACACTCTATTCCACCTCTCCAGTATACATTATTGTAAAGAAGTTTATATTACGAATAAGTAGAGGCTATATTTTAAACTTCATTGTATCTCTTGGCATGTCCAGCACATGGTAGGACCTCAGTAAGCAGATAGGCTTCCCTACTTGGATAAATGGCACAATCTTATCATACAAACCAGAAACCAGGGAGCCATGCCTTCCCTTTCCTTATCCAGGTAATCACTAAGTCCCACCAACTGTGGCTCACCAAAATCTCTCGAATCTTTTCCTATCTCTTAATCCTCACTCTCACCGTTAGGACCTCACCAGCACTCACTTGGATTATTGCCATAGCGTTCTAACTGTTCTTTCTGCTTCCAAAATTAGCCCACACTGACTTATCCACTCCTGTATTGACAACTTTTTTTCCTAGAAGTTCAAATCTAATCCCATCATTTTCTAAATAAAACCCTTCAAGGAAAAACCCCTTCGCATGATACCAAGGACCTATTGACCCAATGTTGGCTACCTTTCCAACTGTGTGTCCCACCATTTCTCTTCATTGAACTGTATGATTCAACTATGTCAAGTCAGTATTTAGAAGTCCCCATATGCACCACTGCTCTACCAGTAAGCCACTGCTCTTTGACAGAAGTTGGTACCTCTGCCCAGAGTTCCCTCTCACCTTCCCTAAGGCCTAATCATGCTTCACAATTTAGTTTAAACATCATATATTCTAGTAAGCCTTCTCTGATGATATGCATACATACACATATACACACACATATGGAAAATGTGTCATTCCCTTCTCTGTACTACCATAGTACCTTGTTTTCAGACCCTATGCTACAGCAATTGTTGCAGCATATTGAATGATTCATCTATAAGACTCTGATGGTTAGTTTTTATGTGTCCACTTGAGTGGGATAAGGGATGCCCAGACAGCTGGTAAAACATTATTTCCGGTTTTGTCTGGGACAGTTTCAGGAAGAGATTTGCATTTAAATCAGCAGACTGAGTAAAGAAGATCTGCACTCATCAATGTAAGTGATCATCATACAATTCCTTGAGGTCCTGGATAGAACAAAAAAGTAGAAGGAAGGTAAATTTGTTCTCTCTTCTGGAGCTGGGACATCCATCTTCTCCTGCTCTCGGACATCACAACTCCAAGTTCTCAAGTCTTTGGACCCTGGAACTTAAACAAGTTGCCTTAAGTTATCAGGCCTTCAGTTTCAGACTGAGAGTTACACCATTGTCTCTGCTGGTTCTCGGCCTTTGGACTCAGACTGAATTACATCACTGGCTTTCCTGGTTCTCTAGTTTGCAGATGGCATATCATGAGACTTCTTTTCCTCCATATTAACAGAAGCCAATTACCATAACAAATCAATCCTCTCTTATATATCTATATCTTTATATATGCTATTGTTTCTGTTTCTCTGGAGAACCCTAATACAAGGACTGTCTCCCTCAACTAAACTACAGGTTAAGTATCCCTAATCTGAAAATTTGAAATCTAAAATGCTCCTAAGTTTGAAATGTTTTGAGCACCAACATGATGCTCAAGGGAAATGCTTATTGGAGTATTTCATATCTTGGGTTTTCAGATTAGCAATGCTCAATCAGTAAGTATAATGAAAGTATTCAAAATCTGAAAAAAATTAAAAATGTGAAACACTTTTGGTCCCACTTCTGTTTCTTTGACTTTTTTCTCTGAATAGTTATTGCACAAGGTTTGCAGAAAGCAAGTGCCCAATAAACATTAACAGAGTGATTGACTCCTTTACCTTGGAAAAATAATAGGTGGCACACAAGTCACCAGACAAATGCTCCATTGCCCTCTGATGGCCTTCCCTCCTACAGAGAGGACCATCACACCAGATGTTGCAAAGCCACTCATTAACCCTTTGGAGAACAAACTAAGAGAACACTTTACTCTGTCAACCATGCTAACTCACACAGAGAGTTGCTTACTTGATTCTACCAAGGTCTTATGGGTCAAAATGTTTTGCCTAAGTTTATGGTTCCAGAACAAAGAAAAATATTTTTAGAAAGTACTCATGTCAATTCTTAACAGCACACATGTAGCAAGTCAATGGCTGCTGACAGTGGAACTGAAGTGGACAGAAGTTCAGATTCGGGCCCGCTTTGACTAACTCTTGACCATAATATTAACGGGAAAATCTACAAGGTCCATCCTTCGCAAAATCAATGAAAATAATGAGGAAATAAATACACTGAATGTTCTTAGCCCCAGCACCACTGCAGTCATTTGGCTACGAAGAGTATTCAAAACTAAAGTTTGATGATATCATGATAGTTAAGTTTTTTCAGCATATCACAAGCCCTTGCTTCTGATTCAGTGTTTAATGTCGACAAGATTACTTCTTGTTGTGCCACTTGGGTGCATTACAAACACATGTATAATCAGTAGGGGATTCACTGACCTCAAATTTGCCTGTAAGTTCTCCATACCAAAATTTCTGATGATATGAACCAATACGAATTGTTTTAAATAGCTGTTACATGGAGTTATTTTTTTCTGATTAGTCTACATACTCATTTTGGAAAATTTAGAAAATATGGACAAGGATAGAAAAAAATAAAAGTTACCTATTATTCCACAACTTAGAGAAAAAACATCATGTATTTTCCTTTATACATAAAAACATATTTTTACATAACTGAGACCATATTTTTATTTTCTTCCATAACTCTACTTTTTAGTTAATTTTATATTATGAGCCTTCTTTGTATAATTAAAATAGCTCCATAGCCATCATTTTAATGGCTCCACAATTTCGTCTAATGCATGAACCATAAGTTACTTAATCTTTTCCTTATTGATGGCCATTTGTTTCATTTTTTTTTGACAATGTAAATAATACTGTGATGGACATTTTTGCATGTAACAACTACTTCATTTCTTATCATTTTCTTAGAACAAATCCCCAAATGTTTAATTGGTATGTCAAAAGTTATAAACAGTGTTAAAGCTTTTGATAAATGTTCCAAAGGGCATTCCAGAATATTTCCACAGATATTTACTGAGTATCATGTGTTCCCTAATTAAACTGCAGCAGTCACCACTGGAACAAGATAAAAATCTCACCCTGTGGCTTGTTGAGTCTTTTCCCCTCCGGACATCTATCTGCCCCCTTACCATACTGTGCACTTTGAGGATAAGAAGAAAGTCATTACACTTTGGACTGTCCAGGGCTTTCACAGGCTTCCTCACGCCTTACTTTCTAGCCAGGTGTTTAGAAGAGAGTTACAACATACACGTTTCTAAGGTGAAAGAAGTCAAAGCCAGCAGTCTCCTACAAGAGCTCCCAAGGGAGGGAGGGAGTAGGAATTGTGATATAGCGAAGAGTGGACTTCAGTTAAAGAGTGGATTGGAAGTTATGGAGGCTAGTCCTGGTTCTTCCACTAACGACTGTGAAACCTTTGGCAAAAATTTCACTGCCTTAAGTCTCTTCTAGAAGTTGATCAAGAGTAACTAAATGGTCTCTAACAATCCTTTAAAAGCAAAAATGCAATTATTCTAGTGATTAAAGTTTTCTTCAGGAGACCATGAATCATTCTATTTGATAGTAGCTCCTCTTCCAAAATGTGAGCTTTCATCCTGGGAGCTCAGTGGAATTTTTTGGCAACTGAAGTTGTACGGAGAGATATAATTTGGCTTTCTAATCAAGGTCCTTCTTTCCTTACTCCTCGCTCATCCTTCAAGCCTCAAATCAAAGGTTACTTCTTTAAAAAGGTCTTATGACCTAAATTAGGATCCCTTGGTTTTTCTTTCATACTATCCAATCAATTCCTTACCTTCAAAACACTTACCAACGTTTCTAATATATATTTATATGTATTTATTTGTATAGTGACTTCCCCTACTTATTAGCTTCATAAAAGCTGGGACCATAAATATTTTTGTTTTTTTTTACCTTCGTGTACCTCGTGCCTAACAGCTCCTGGACAGTAGTTGATTCTCAATAATAAATGTTACTGAAAATAAATATTGAGAATACATACTAATAATAATCATTTACTGAGAACCTAGGTAATTTTCACATATATTGTCATTTGACTCTGACAACTTTGAAGTTTCACATAAGGATACTGAGCTTAAAAAATTAATTCCTCCTTGTTACCCTCCTTTCATCCAAGATCTTAACATCAAGGGCCAGTCTTGATTCTTGAGTCTGCTTTTTATTCCCTCTTCCACCCTAGACTCCCTCAAGAGCCTAAAGAGCTCTCAACTTTTCCTTCCTGTTGGATGAAAACTTCCCTAAATCACACATTTCCTCTTCCCATCTTATTCCATTCACCCTCACAGTTGTTGTAGTTTGCTACAACAACTGATAATGAGGGTAGAAAGGGAAAAAACACTATTTCTGTACACTCACACACTTCTGACAGCAAACGTGGTGGTTTTCCCTACACCAACCAATCCTCCAAGTCTCTGGACACCAACTGGGTGTCCTACAATTTATTTCAATTCTGACACTAACTACCTGGAGTTATCACAGACCCCACAGGTTAAGGGTTTAGTTGCACAAGACTATCCACCCCCCGACCAATTCTGCCACCAATCACAAGTAGTGGTTCCCCAGGTTACCCACACTTCTGTCTGACTTGGCTACAAACCTAGGGTTCCCATGACTCCCTCCTCAGGTTCAGAAATTTGCTATAATGACTCACTGAACTCAGGGAAACCGTTTATTTACTATTACCAGTTTATTATAAAGGCTACAACTCAGGAATAGCCAAATGGAAGACATGCATAGGGCCAGGTATGAGAGAGGTGCAAAATTTCTATACCCTTTCCCCGTGAACCACCCTCTAAGCACCTTGATGTGTTCACCAACCCAGAACCACTCCAAACCCACCATTCAGGGTTTTTACAGAGGATTCTTTACATAGGCATGTTGGATCCACTGCATTGGTGATGAAGTCAATCTCCAACTCCTCCCCAAAGGTCAAGGGATATGGTTGAAAGTTCCAATCTTCTAGTAATGCCTTGGCCTTTTTGGTAGCCAGCTGTAGTCCAGGGACCCCAGCCACAAATCATCTCATTAGCATACAAAAAATACTCTACTCACGCTAAAGATTCTAAGGATTTTAGAAACTCCTGCTTCAGGAACCTGGGACAAAGAGCAAATATTAAGATTAAGAAAAGATGCTCCTATTACCCTTATCACTCAGGAAATTACAAGGATTTTAGGAGCTCTATGTCAGGAACAGGGACAGGACCAAATATATATATATTTTTATGTCACAGGGTGCAATAAGAGAAACTGATTTAGTGATATGCAATAAAGGAAACTATCTTAGTGATGTCTAAGTATTTCAAAAATATCTTTGTTTCAAGACAATTTTTCAGAAAGCACTACACATTCAACATAAAAAAGTCCATAAAATATACTTCCTTATTATCACAACTATTGAGTCTCTTAAAGCAAACATATTGAAAGTGTTCATTATTTCTTTGTATAACTAAATATACAAATATCTTTCCTTTTTGCAAATGCTAAAAAATACCTGTTAATCAGTATAGCAATAATGATAATTACAATGACTAAATGTAAACTATAATAGATAATGCATGCATTGCCTAATTAATTGTTTTATTCAACCCTAAAAGAACCACATAAGGTAGGTATTTTTATTCTTACCTCTTAGAAATAGGCTTACAGACATTAAGTGAATTACCTGAAGGTCACATCTGTGCCAGTATTCAGACACAGATTTTTCTGATTTGAGTATCTGTATTCTCAACCACCATGCAAACTGAATCCTTCTTAATGTCTGCCATCTGTTACTACTGGAGGAAAGAGGGAGTTGAGTACTTGGACTATTTGGCTAACTGATGCTTACATCAGTTTATGTGCCTCCAAACTTTTACCCTTATAATTACACGTAATGTATATCTTCCAAAATCTATATTGCTCCTTTCCTCTCATCTTAAGGACCATTTCAGGAAATGATGATGCAATGGAAAGAGTATGGAGTTCAATAATGGCCCCAGCACTTACTGGTCAAGTCATCTTGAATACCTTACTTAAGTACTTTGAGCCTATTTCATCACCTCTAATATGGAATAGTACCTACATCACTGTTGCCATGAAAACTGGTTGATATAAGTGCAAGTATTTTATGAAGTATACAGTTGTGAATCGTACAATGTGTATGTGTATTTTATGAAGTATAGAGTTGTGATCCTTTTTGTCATCATCATCATGAAAATGAACATTAGTGAGACCCTTAGGTGTTACTGAGAGGCATATGTTATTATACCCCATACTGCAAAACTACTCAGTAATCTGCCTCTGTTGCTAAAGTATATATGTAAAGGGTTGTCATGGAGTTAGTAATCATTCACCCTACCACTTCAATTTTAGCTAGTGTTTCATTAAACTCTAACATTGCCTCAATGGTAGATCCAGAATTCTACATAGAAAAATGTCTATGGCAACAACTTTAGTGATCATGGGACTTGTCTTGAAGGGGTGATCATGGGATTTCTCTTGAAGGCAATTTTTTGCTAGCAAGTATAGATTTCTACTTTATATTATAAAACAATAAAAATATTATGAATTCCAAAAGTACCCCTTTGCACACTTTCAATAATGAGAAAATAACAGCAGGCCACATCAAAATATAATATTATTATTTGGGGAATTCATGGATATAGCAGGGAGCTAAACCTCTGCCACTAAAATGCCACTACTTGCTAGCGTTGTCACTACTTAAAATTCCTGCCCCTATTTCTACAGTCATGCCCTTGGCCTCCTCTTTACTTTCCTCCTCTATTCTTTCATTTGTACCCTCTTCAAATGTTTTTAGCTTATCACTAGTCAATTAGAGTGGCCCCTTTCTACCAATAGTGAACTGATTAATGCTATCACAACAGGAATAATTTTGGAGTCTTGGCCTTCTCAACTATTTTCATTACTCTTCACACCTTAAAAGACCATCCTCATTGCTGGAAATGTTTCTGAACTTACAGTTCATGATTCTTGAAGTTGCCCCCAAAAGCTGACCTCTGAATAAAGAAATCATTTTAAATTTTCTACAAAAGAAATGAGTGAAAAAAAATCAAAACAACTTACTAAAGGGAAAAAACATGAATTAAATTGGTTTATTGACAACATGTAGTTGTCAATAAAAAACCTGATTGATTTTATTTTTATTCAGAGGAGGTATTTTGATTTAATGGAGACTCAAGCAAAATATGATAGCAAATTTCAAAGAAGTTATTTAACTAAAATCCCAAAATCCAATTTTAATTACTTAATCAATGATTCACATTTATTGAGCATCCATTGGCGCAATCAGGGACTAAACCATAAAAGCTCTCTGTCTGTGAGATATAAACTCCCTGGAAAAGCCTCTTGAGTACTAACAATCACAAACATCCAGAAAGCATGTCACTTTGTATTACATGCACTCAGAAAAGATAAAAATTTGCCTCTATAATAAGCTAGACACTAGTTTATTAAGTACATCAACAATTTACCATTTAAGGAAATTTGGAGAGGATCAACAAAACTTAAGAATCCTGGCCAAAAATAATGAGTCCAAAAGCTTGTGAAATTTTCCATCAAACTCAGAAGAAGACTTTGTGTTTTCAGCATGCCTGGAACTTAACAGAAATATAAGGCAAGGCATCGAGACTGTCACATGGCAGATACTAATTGTTCCGATTAAAGTCTAACAAGCTTGCTTCCCTGCTGCTCAGAGAATGTCTCTGACTTTTGATCCTGACATCTGTGTCTTACAAGAATTTCACTCTGCTCTGACATTCCTTCTGATGTTGATCCAGGAATTAATGGATTGTGAAAAAGCTGGCAGGATATCATTTAAAAAATAGAATTCCTAGTGTACAAGTGATGAAAAGGTATCAGAATTCACATACTTTGTGTCTGATACCAACACTACTCTCAGGTTTGGGTGTTTTGGTTTTTTAATGCTAGTCCAAAACAGGATTGAAAATTAAATTTTGTTATAAAGTTCTCATGACAAAATAGTAATTCAATGTTTTTTCATCATATAGGAGGAATACATGTTTTTGAAAAATACTAAAGCAAATGCCATATGAAATAATTTGGTCTGAATGACTACTTTTATATAGAGTTGATCATAGATATATAGTTGATCAATGTTTATAAGGAATCTGGTATTTTTATATGAAGAAAATGCTTATATGTGCTTAGAAAAGTAAAGGGCTTTTAAAAAGATGACTTGAAACTTGCCCTGGTAATACTTATGCCATCTCTCTAATAATTTATAATATGTTTGGAGACTCAGGACTCTAGTAAACTACTGATCAAAAGGGGAATTTTAATTAAGGAAAGTATCTGTAATTTATAATACAAAAAAAGTTTAAATTAAAACTGTCTAAAGATGTGTTTTAAATTAAGGAATTCTCTTCAGGATTGAAATTTTACACATCAGAAGATACTGCCTTGCATTTCATGATTCTGGATAATTACTAGATGCCAGTGGATAACTTAAACATAGCTTAGATTCACTGACATTAATGTGTGACAAGAATTACAGAACATATTTAGTAATTTTAAAAGAAAAAGTGAAAGGATTTTTGAAAAACCAGGAAGAAATGCCAGAGTGGCAACGATATAAATTTTTGAGTAAGGAAAAAATTCTCCTTTTTGTCACAATGGTCAGAAAGTCAACAAGTTAAAAAGAAACACAAGTCAATTGTTAGATCTATAACTAATGTAAAAATTAATAAGTTAGATATTCATCTATTCAAGCAAATATCTACTTTTTACATTAAAAAATAATATTATTTTTTAAAGGAACAAATTTCTGTTAATTTTGTTTAGATAGGCTGCCTTAGTAATTATATTTCATGTGCTATTTCCAGAAATAAGGTAACAAGCTCATTAAAATCAGTAAAATTTATTGACAGCATGCTATCATTGGCTACTAATAACTAACCTATATTGGTGAGGTTTTGTTATTATCTTATAATGATATTTAATTATTTAAAATTTTGCATGTTCACATTTTTATGACATGTCAAGCTCCCAAGTACTCCAGAAATATATGATCCCTAGCACATTGAGTATTACTTGCTCTTAGGAGAAAAAAAAAAACAAAAAATCTTCTAGCCCCCAAATCTTCTCTAATTGGCTCTTCCTACTTATCCTCTCTTTGAGCACTTTCCACACTTCACAGTATCAGATGATTGTCAGTCCACTCCATTAGACTTTAAGCTTCTTAAGGACAAGGAGCAGGCCTATCATCTTTATTGTTATATCTGTGAACTTAGAGGGTATTTATTAAATGCCCAATGGATAAATGAATGAATGCGACCTACTAGCTTACTTCAATGGTTTCTTTGTATATACTTATTATTTTATGTTGCCTTAAATACTCCTTAAATAAGAGAACAGTATAAAATATGTAATATATTTAATATCATTAAATTAAAATTAACATTATTATTAATAAATATGTATCACCTATATACTTTTTCTTTGTGGCCATTTTATAAAGTTGAACATCTGTCATATGACAAAAATATTCATACTAAAATATAGCTTGAATATTCTTTAAGAGTATTGAGTGTACTTAAAGATAGCAAGCCTAGAAAAGTGTGATATTCAGATCAGGAAGAAAATGTCACAATATTCACAATTACCACCTGTACTCAGAATAGCTTCTTAAAGTCTCTTGACATGTGTCATTTTCACCCAGTACCCTTTTTTCCCACCTATGGTTTCTAAAATAATCAACCATTAAATAAAAATATATTAAGAGGTGGTGCCCAAACTAAAAAACAAGACAGGGAAGGAAAGAAAAAAAAAAAAAGACAATGAAATGCAAGATGAAGTGTTAAATCAGAAAGGGGTTGCCACATTAAGAAAAATAAGATTGTGAAATTTGCAAGAGTTGGACAGGGGTTGAAAAGTATGATATATGACAGTGGGGTAAAAATAAGACAGTTGGGAGGAAAGAAGTGAAAACAAAGTGAACAAATTAGACAAGCCACTCATTTTAAATCCTTAAAAGACTGTAGCTCACTGTCAATACACAAGATGTGTCAGAGCTAGCATATCTATTTTTATACTTCTCAGGTTTTTTTTCTTGTGTGCTTTAAAAGTATAAAATGGTATTTGCTTTTAAAAAGATCAATTTTAGATTTCCAATTTGCTTCAGTTTGATATAGGCAAGAATATACAATGTGAATTTTTCATCTTCCTCCATAGTGCACTGCAGTGTCAAAAACCTCAAAAGTGGTTTGAATCATGTGCCATGAAAAAATACAAGAAGCACAGACTATGCACCCAGGTACCCTGCACCACAGGTCTCCACTGCAGTCACAAGTCTGGCATGGTAGACAGTGTGGTCCTCTCAATACTAGCCATTCTCTTTTAATTTTTTAAATGACTGAACTTTAAAGCTACACAATTTTATGCCAGGCGCAATGGCTCACGCCTGTAATCCCAACACTTTGGGACGCCGAGGCGGGTGGATTGCTTGAGTCCAGGAGTTTGAGATCAGCCTGGGCAACATGGCAAAACCTCATCTCCGCAAAAAAAAAAAGAAAAAAAAAAGTAGTTGACTGTGGTGGCATTTGCTTGTGGTCCCTGTTACTCAGGAGGCTGAGGTGGGAGGATCACTTGAGCCCAGGAGGTGGAGGTTGCAGTGAGCCAAGATTGCGCCATTACACACCAGCCTAGGCATCAAAGCGAGACCCTGTCTCAAACAAACAAACAATAAAGTTACACAGTTTTATCCAAGACAACTTGGTACTTCTTCAAATTTATAACAGTAAGATAAAATCAAAAAAGAAAATCAAAAGGACATAGCCAGGCTCAAAACCAAGATAACCAACATAAGAGACAAGAAGGGACTGAAGTTCTTGGACTACTGGTTCCAAAGTGTGGAAGCAGACAGAGTTTGTTGAGAGTTTGGGTCCTCTGCTCCATATACGGAGAGGTTCAGTGAAGGCATTTCCCAGGAAAAGAGGCCAGGAAAAAACAAGAAAATAAAACCCAGCAGCTGACCCACTGTTTCGATATATGACTTTATGGAAAGCTGAGGGGATGGATGGAGGGTGGTGGAAGGAAATAGAACATGTGACTGTTGGTCAGAAATTCCAACGTGCATTAAAAGGCTGGGTTCTGGACTCCCTGGGAGGCAAGCAAAACAATTAAATAACTGCTGGACAGTGAAGGGTGAGCACAGAGGAAAGGAGGAGAGGAAAAATAACCAAAATTTTCACTTCGATGAGACTGCAAACCAAAATGCCAAAGCAGATAAAAAAATAAAATGTCATGAAAGACAGCCAAAAAATTTTGAACAATGAAAGATGAATCAATCTAGATGAAATAAACATTATAGTATGCTGTAAGAGATAAATGAACAAATCAATTATTCATAAAGAACAAAAATAATAAAAAGGCAAAAATGAACCTGGAGCAAGTGGATACTAAAAATAATCAATTACAAATAGTGAGAAAAGAAAAATATAGTATCCAGTCACCCCCTAGAACTGAGCACTTGCATTTTGACCAGAGTATCTGGAGCAGAGGGTTGCTGTGTTTCTGAGGTCATAGGGATAGTTTGCAGCCACTGGTTACAGACTGAGACACCTATATAACGGCTGCTCTAGATTCCTTATGTCATCCATTGTCATGAACTGATACGGCATCATCTTGGGACCTAGCCTAGGCTTCTCACTACTACCCAGGGGCTCCCCTGTTGATGTTGAGGTGTAGGATGCTGTGGGAACATGTTTGGTGTTCTCATGTATAATTCAGAAGTGTGGGAGAGTTGATGTCTCCTTCCACAAAAGATACCTGCCCCAACAGTTTCACAGGGTAGTTTTTATAAACCTATAAGGAATAGATCATTTATATATATATTTTCCAATGGTAAGAAAAATACTATTTTGAATAATAAAATTTTAGAAGCACTCATTCTATTAAAGACAAGATATCACTATCACTGCTTCTATTCAACATTACACTGGAATATTGACCCCATGCAACAAAACAAAAAATAAAAAATAAAATGTATGTCAGAAAACTTGTAAAACTCTCCTTGTGTACAAATAATACAAATTCTACAATCAAGAGCATCTACAAGGACCAATAGTAATATTCAAAAAGTGTGGCCTTCTCATATAACATTAATAAGCAACTGGAAATGTACTTATAATTTTTAAATTCAATTTTTAGTGTTTGCCAATTTCTGTGGTGCTTATTGCTCCTACCATGTCCAATTTCAAGGTATATGAATTGAATGCAGTGTTGGGAAGAGATGCACATAATTGGCTCTATGAGTACTGTGAGCCAACCACAGCATGCCATTGGTAGTACATATGCCAAATTTGGTGGATGAATAAAGTTTTACTTAGAGGGAAGTGAATAGCTTTAGATATGCTTATTAACATTAAGAATGAGCTAAAATAATTAATTTAAGTATTCAATTCAAGAGGGTAGAAAAAGTACAACACCCCAAATATAAGGTGCCAAGGATAACAATAACATAAGATATGCAAGCCCTTTGTATATAAAGTGACAAAATATTATTTAAGGACAAAAAAAGATAGCCTGAAAAAAAAAAAGGGATATACATTCCATATTCCTAGATAGGGAATTCCAATATCACAATATCTCCTGTTAAATGGGATTGGAATAGATTGAAAACTTTCATCAAAACAAAACAAATGATAGCCGGGGGCTCATGCCTGTAATCCCAGCACTTTGGGAGGCTGAGGCCCACAGATGACTTGAGGTCAGGAGTTCGAGACCAGCCTGGCCAACATGGTGAAACCCTGTCTCTACAGAAACACAAAAATTAGCCAGGCATGGTGGCAGGAGCCTGTAACCCCAGGAACTCAGGAGGCTGAGGCAGGAGAATCGCTTGAACTCAGGAGGCGGAGGTTGCAGTGAGCCGAGATTGTGCCACTGCACTCTAGCCTGGGCAACACAGCAAGACTCCATCTCAAAAACAAAACAAAACAAGCAAACAAAAAACAAACAAAAAATTCAAATGGCTAATGGCTCAGTAAAAAGGCAGGAGAACCTAACATTTCTCTACTTTGTTGCAGACCCTTCAAATTCAGTCATGCCATTTCCAGTCTATATAAAGTAGAGTTGGCATTGACAATACTCTCAGTAGGCTTTGGATTCTGAGCCAATGGAATATCACTATAGGCACCTTCTTATCTATAAGAGTTTTCTCTTAATTCAGCAGACCTGTTAGTCACACTGTGAAACCTTCCTGCTGGAGGAATTCTGGGTAACAATATATAAGATAATCATATTATAGCTTGCTTTTCTAGAAGAGGCCTGAACAAACTACAACCTACAGACTAAATCCAGTCTGTTGCCTGTTTGTATAAATAAAGTTTTATTTACGTATTGTCTATAGGTCCTTGTATGGTACAACAGCAGAGATTAGTAGTTGAAACAGAGGCTGTATGGTACACAAAGCCTAAAATATTACTATCCAAGCCTTTCCAGAAAAGAATTACAGACCCTTGGCCTAAAATATGACAAAATGTTGCCTATTAAATAAGCATACTGTAAACATATTTAAGAAGTTAGGTTTGGCTGTCTAGGGTAATAATTGATAGTACTGCTGGGGTGATATTTCCAGAGTTAATGTTATTGGATCACAATAAAGGAAAGGTACTTTGTCTGCTTCTTTTAAGTACAATTCTTATTCTTTTGACTAATAAAAGTAGAAATAGATCTTACAGGTTACTTGTGTAAGTGCCAATATTAATTCCATCATATGAGCTCCAATGGTATTTTAAAATCTATTAATAATTTATCCTCGTAAAGTTATGCATAGGTATTTCCAATCACTACCATTCACCTTAGCCCTCTTAGCCTTAGCAACCTAGAGTTGTCAGATTTGCAAATAAAAATTTAAGGTGCCCATTTTATTTGAATTTTAAATAAACAATGAATAATTTTCAATATAAGTATGTCCCATGAAATATTGGAGACATACTTATGCTAAAAATTATTTGCTGTTTATCTGAATTTCAAATTTAACCGGCTGCCCTATAATTTATCTGGCAACCCTACTTCTATCTCAAAAGCTGAACCTTACCTCATAAATATCTATACCTACTATGTACACATAAAAATTAAAAATTAAAAAATTAAAGCTGAAACTTTCCCACCTATCACTGTCCCCAACGACCATGAACATTACTGCGATAGATGAGTTTTAGATGACTTTAACAGAATTTTTAAAATACTTTCCTCTATCTTCAAGGCAAATGGATAAAGAATCATCAATGGATATTAAAACCAGTAGGTGAAAAGTTGATATGAAAATGAATATTTGCATAGTGCTCATAGATTACTTGTGGTTAAAAAGGGAAAAGTATAACTTTACACCCTTACCTCAAAGCCCATTGCTGAGAGTGGGAGGAGGAGACAATACGTTCCTGGTGATGTCAGGCAAAGTGAAATACAAAGCATCAGCTGGGAATTATTCCTGCCAAAAATGTTTACCCTGAATCTATCCAACTCTTAAGATCATGAGATCTCAATCTAAGGTCCATGGATTTCTGTGTTTGTTTGTTTGTTTGCTTTTTGAGATGGAGTCTCGCACTGTTGCCCAGGCTGGAGTGCAGTGGAGTGAACTCCGCTCACTGCAACCTCCGCCTCCCAGGCTCAAGTGATTCTCCTGCCTCAGCCTCCGGAGTAGCTGGGATTACAGGCATGCGCCACCACGCCCTGCTATTTTTTTGTACTTTTAGTAAAGATGGGGTTCCACTATGTTGGCCAGGCTGCACTTGAACTCCTGACCTTGTGATCCGCCCCCCTCAGTCCCTCCAAAAGTGCTGGGATTACAGGTGTGAGCCACCGCGCCTGGCCCAGGTCCATGGATTTCTAAGGCATCTGTGGAAAGAATTTCAGAGATTCAGACCTTCAATGGAGAAAAGATGAATTCCCTATTTATTCTAACTTATTAAAATTTAACATGCCCTTCCATTATAAATGTAGACATCACATTACAATCAGTTTAGCAATACTTGGGACTTTCAATATGAGAAATCACAGGTAATTTCATAAAACATTATAGTTGTATATATTTTTAATATTGTTTACACTCAACTTTGAAATAGAAACAGGGATGGGAGGCAGAGTTTTGTCTATCACTAAAAATGTTGCAAATAACAAAATCCTACATTACAAAGATTTAGTACTACATATTTTTATATCTACTTTGGTGAAAGCCAGTATAGTATGACATACCTTCGGAAATTACTTAACCCTTATGTACCTATTTCCTCATTTGCACAATGAGATAATAATAGAACCTGTAAATGGGGTTGTTTTAAAGATTAAATGAGACAACATATGTAAAAGTGCTTAGGCCTGTGGCTAGTACACAATAAGCAACATGAAATGTTTGTTATTACTAAAACTAAATATTATTCAGGTGATATTATAAATATTATACTAAATATTATAAAGGTAAATTCTGATTATAAAACATACAAGACATAAAACCAAGTTAAGCAGAAGGGTGTCCATGTGTGTCTTCTTTGATGAATTCTTTCTTCCCAACTGGTATTTGTGCCATAAATAAGTGTTGATTGAGTTATTCTGTTCCTAGCTAAAACAGGTAACCAAATGAGAACTATATCATCTTCTCTCCGCCCATTTTACCAGCACACCTGCATGTGTGCTCACAAACTCCATCCTTTTCCCTGTTACATCGGATGAACTGTCTATTCTCCTGAAATTATATAATGGATCTTTTGCAATATCAGTTGTCCTCCTTTATCTGATTATTCATATTTAGCATGCAAACATGCCTTAATGTAAAATTCACTTTAAGGAACCCTCCCCTGGCCACTCAGCCCCTTCTATTTCTCTACTCTGCTTACCTCAACACTCTGAAAAAGTTGTCTATACTTCCTTTCTACTTTTTCCCATTCCCTTCAACTTACTCAAATCAGATTTTCATCCTCACCACACCGTCCAAAGTGTTCTTGGCAAGGTCACTAAAAACCAACATCTAGTCAAGGCCAATGGTAATTTTCCATTGTCTTCCCACTTTAATCATCAGCAGTATCTGATATGCTTCATCACTCCCTCCTTAAATATTTTCTTCTCTGAGTTTTGTGTCTTAACAACCACCTATTCCTTCTCAGCTTCCTTAGTTGATCCTTCTTTTACTCAGCCACTGGACATTGCAGAGTCTCAAGTTCTGGTATCTTTATTTTCTTTATCTATCCTCTCACCCTTGGTGATCTCAACCATTTCCATGGTTTTACTTACTATCTATATATTAATAGTTATATATTAAACTTGTATCTCTTACCCAGATCTCATTTCTGTCTGTTCAATTACCTACTCAGCCTCTTGGTTTGACTACCTAATGGCAAACAATCTCCCCTTCACCCCAGTTTTCTTTATTCAGTAAATGGAGCCAATGTTTTTGGCTCAGGCTAACCCCAGAAGTAGGACACATCTTGCATTCTTGCCTTTCCCTCACACACAATATCCAATCCAATGGTAGATTCTTTCAGGACTATTTCCAAAATATATCCTGAGTCTTATAATTCCTCATAATTTTCACTATAGAGTTCATGCAAATCAACTTCTACTGGATAAAATTCAACAGCCTCCACTCTTTGGAGGTTTGTCTGTCTCCGCTCATCCTACAATGCCTCCTCCACATACGAGTCAGCATTATCTTTCTCAAGCACACATTAGTTCATGTCACCTCCATGCTTAAAACTCCTCAATACTTTCCAAGAGTAAAAAAGAAACTCCTTACCATGCTCCACAAAGCTCTCTATGATCTGCATGTCCCCACCTCACCACCAGTCATCATACTCCAGTCCAACAGCCTTATTCCTCTGCTCCTCAAATGCACCACTCTGTCCTACACCAGGGCCTTTGCAATTGCTTTTGCTTCTTCTGAGAAAGCTCTTCCCACAATAGGTTCACATGTCTGGATCTTTCTTATCATTCAGCTATCACCTCCTCAGAGACTGCCTTATCAACAAAAACCAAACCACTAGCCATTCTCTGAAAAAATGTCCTATTTCATGTTCTTGATAGCATCCAACAGCACCTGAAATTATCTTTTTTTTATGTTTTATTTTCTGCCCTACCCCTCAGCAAGCTCTTTAAGGCAATAACTCAGCCTTGTATGCGTGTACATTTCTCAATTCCTAGAGTGCTTGGCAGATAGTAGATACTCAAATAAATACATGCCATTGAACATGGAATTTGAGGGGTCAGGAGAACATGATGTTTAACGGATACTTGGAAATTCAGTCTGAATTTAAACAGGTACTAATTGTAGAAATACAAAATTTGCAGTCACTGACACAGAGGTAGGTATAGACACTACTGAAGCTACCCAGAAAGAAACAGTAGGAAAAGAAGTTAGAAGTGTCCTGGACTTAAATAAGTTAAGTACGTTCCCTCCGAGGTAACATACCTGGCAAAGGCAGGGAATGGTAGTGATTTCTAAAAAGGAGAACACAAGGAATAGTCTGAGAGGGGAAGTAAAACCAGAAGAGTTCACAAAAGCCAGGGAGAAGATGGCTTCCCAAATCAATTAAATAGTGTCAAATATTACAGAGTGGTTGAAGATGATAGAAAGCCAGTGATTTGAATAACTAGGGATCATTATTGCCCTTTTCCACCTTTAGTTAATTAACTGTATTTTGAAAATTAAAGAATAAACTCCAGTGAAATAAAAAGTCCTGAAACATCTACAATGCATGGTTGACATATCTCAGAGGGGCAGTTACTGCATAGCAGATTTCAGCCAGAGCTGATTGAGTCTGCAGAGTCTGATTGAGGCAAAAGTCATTTAAGGGGTTGGACAATGACTGAGTAGTAAGAAATTTAAGGCAGAGAATAAAAACTCCTCTTCTGAGTTGTTTACCAACAGAGAGGAATGCTGGAAAGGTATGTCAAGAGAGTAGAAGAATTGTGGAAAGACCTCTTCAAGCAAGGATAAAGGAACAAGCATGAACGGGAGAGAGGCCAATGCATAGAGAGAGATAAAGGAAAGTAAAAGAAAGAGGGACAGTCAGTCCACCAGACACAATGAGATGATGTGGGACCAGAGAAAACAAATGAATGGGGTTGGCCTTGCAACAACTAGAGTCATTTCTCCCTCCTTTCACTTTCATTATTAATTGAATGAGCAAACATGCATGTCTACCAGTGTCTGCTACATGGGGGGTATCCGATAAATCCTAGTTTCTCCCCACATCCATGCCCATATATTTCTTACCATAAGTCAATCACCCTTCAAGTAGAATTTGGTGTGCCAGTTCCTCAGGCTGCCAGAGCTTTCTGGTTTTCTCTGCTTTTCTTGAATGAAGAAAGTCAGTGCCCTCCCACGCAAAGAGAAGGTAGTTCTTCCATAGCAAAACCTTTTACATGGCTGAAGACATTCTATGTCACTGACTATCAATTGTTCCCAGTTCCAGAAAGGTACTATACTCCTGTGTGAGTCCCAAAGTAGGTACGAAAGGAATGTTTATTGACTGAATGACTAATAGCATTTATAGCTAGCATTTACTGAGCTCTTACTGTGGAGTTAAGAATGGACCGGCCGGGCACGGTGGCTCATGCCTGTAATCCCAGCACTTTGGGAGGCCGAGGCAGGTGGATCATGAGGTCAGGAGTTCAAGACCAGCCTGGCCAATGCGGTGAAACCCCGTTTCTATTAAAAATTCAAAAATTAGCTGGGCATGGTGGCACATGCCTGTAATCCCAGCTACTCAGGAGGCTGAGGCAGGAGAATCACTTGAACCCGGGAGGCAGAGGTTGCAATGAGCCAAGATCACGCCACTGCACTCCATCTTGGGCGACAGAGAGAGACTCCGTCTCAAAAAAAAAAAAAAAAGAAAGAAAGGAAAAGAAAAGAAAAAAGAAGCAAAAGAGAATGGACCAAGCACTGTTCCCAGATCTTTTCATATATTAATTCATTAATACTAACCCTAAGATATCTTCATTCAATAAATAAAACCTTGAAGCACAAAGAGGATATCTTACTCACATTCACACGGTAAGAGGCACCTCCGGATTCTACTGCCTCCTTGAATCCATGAATGGATAAATATCTCTATTACCCTGGAATCTATTCTTTTTCTATCTAGGCAAGCAAGTTTCATAAATTCTGAAGAAGGCTATTTTGCAAGAGGCCAAACTTACTTGGTTGATCTCTGGACTACTTCAGAAAACATTTATGACTTTTACACTTGAGACAAAGGGACTGCTCTCATCTGTAGATGATCATCCACCATGACTTCATGAGCATATTCAAGACTCCATCTTTAGCAATCAGACTGAGCTTGGGGATCAGAGCTAGACTGTATTTCTCACACTACATTATTCAAACTATCCTAACCATAAAATCTAACAATATGTAATAATTATGATGATAAAGCATATATGATGTCTCAACTGGCTATACTAGGATACACTCAATTTTCTATTTATTTAAGACCATATGTATTTATCAGAAACAAGTATTTGTATACACAATTGCACAACTGCATCCTCAAAATGCGTGACTACTATCCACATGCCTACTACCTGAATTGCTTTTAATTATTTGCACTATCGCCCCATCCCACCTGCACTGTTTTAAGTTGTGAGGCCTAGGGATTTGAGAGTTAATTTCAATATGAGATGAATTAAACATGCTTCCTGAATCGAGATTACATGAGTTAATTACTTACAGACATGCCTAGATACTTTGTTCTTTAATCGGAAAAAATCCATATGGAATAATCATTTTCAGTATTTTTAAGGCCTCATGTATACAAGCTGTCAATGGTGCAGTTTTCCTTTCGTATTTTCTGCTACTCTACATAATGTAGACTCTATAAGCAGTTATAGTTTACGTTCCATATAACGTGTCATAGAATATCTAAACCTCCAGGTTAACTTACTGAGCTTTAAAAAAAAGCTAAGCAGCCGGGCGCAGTGGCTCACACCTGTAATCCCAGCACTTTGGAAGGCCGAGGCAGGTGGATCACGAGGTCAGGAGATCGAGACCATCCTGGCTAACACGGTGAAACTCCGTCTCTACTAAAAATACAAAAAAATTAGCTGGGCATGGTGGCAGGTGTCTGCAGTCCCAGCTACTTGGGAGGCTGAGGCAAGAGAATGGCATGAATCCAGGAGGCGGAGCTTGCAGTGAGCCAAGATCGCGCCACTGCACTCCAGCCTGGGCGACAGAGCGAGACTCAGTCTCAAAAAAAAAAAAAAAACAGCTAAGCATAGTTAAGTAATACCTTTTAAAGTTTTACAATGTAAATAAACGAATTAAATTTTATAGTAGTAATATAAATTTTTAAACTCCCAACACAATTGCAAACATAAATTCTGTATGAATGAAAAATTTCACTGTAAAAAATAAATATACTAGAGGAAAAATATACCCTTACAATGCGAAAATTTTGTTTTTCCTGATTAAAAAAAACAAGAAACTATTTTTTTAAGTTTTAAGAGGTGATTAAGTAGAAATTTAACTGCTATATATCAAAACACACTAAAAAATGTATAAGACAAAGGACAAATTTAGGGAGAAATGTATTACATTTTTATATAACAGGTAATTTAAACACACACCCCATAAGGAATGCTTACAATTCAATAAGAAAGATGAACATAGCTAACTGGGCAAAGATATGAATGGGTGAATTATTAAAAAAATACAAGTGAACAATAAACCTACAGAAATATATGTAACTTCACTACTAATGAATTAACAGATTTTTCAAATGAGATTTTTTTAAATCTATCAGGCTGACATGGGTGAATAAAAATGACGATGCAAGAAAACGGTATATTAATTTATCTTTGGATACAATGTAAATAGGCTCAAACTTCCTTTTAGCTATTAGGAAATATCTGGGGAAAAAATAAATCTGTATTTTTTTCAGTAATTCTAATTTTAGGAGTTCATATTCAGTATTACTAGCAAAAATATACAAAACTGTGTACAAGGACATTAACTGCAATGCAGCAATGCTCATTGTAATAGAAATTGGAAGAAACCTAAATGTCCATTAGTAGCTATATATAACTGTTATGTAAGATGTGGTAAACCTGTGTACTACGTGAAGAAGAAATTCTCCTGGATGCCTCTGCCCTCCTAGGAGGAAGCTTTCTTCCTTCTCTCTGCTCCTCACTTGCTCTTCCTTATTAGATGATCCAGACATAGACATGTGCATTGGTGAAACTGTGTCATCTTCTATATAAAGCCCAGCCTCTCTCTCTCTCTCTCTCTCTCTCTCTCTCTCTCTCTCTCTCTCTCTCTCTCTCTCTCTCTGCTTTCTTTACCAGGGCAGTGGTTTGCTGTCCTCCAAGAAAGGCATGTGGCTCTTCAGTCACTTCACCCCAGTCTGGTTGGATATTTTCTATTCAGGGTCTATTTTCGCCTCATGTCAAAATGATCTTTTCAAATTTAGCCTTATCATTGGTAAGTAGAGACTGGATTTTAATTCCTGCCTGGCTCCTGAGTCTATTTATCAATTTGTTTAACATCTAAAGTAGGAGTATTAAATCCCCAAAGCTTAACACAGGCATTAAAAGTGGTCACCTTCAGCAGGGGGCGGTGGCTTATCATGTCTGTAATCCCAGCACTTTGGGAGGCCGAGATGGGCGAATCACAAGGTCAGGAGTTTGAGACCAGCCTGACCAACATGGTGAAACCCCATCTTTATTAAAAATACAAAAATTAGCCAGGCGTGGTGGCGGGCACCTGTAATCCCAGCTATTCAGGAGGCTGAGGCAGGAGAATCACTTAAACCCGGGAGATGGAGGTTGCAGTTAGCCGAGATCACGCCACTGCACTCCAGCTTGGGTGACAGAGCATGACTCTGTCTCAAAAAAAAAACAAAAAAAAAAGTGGTCATCTTCTACTACTTTTGACATGTAAAGAGGTCCATGACATAGTAGATAATAAAACAAGAATATTACTAATATTACCGACTATTACTTGTTTAAAAAAGGGAGTATGTATCACTCATATTAGAGAAAAAGAAGTATTTATTTATATTGTTGAGTGTGTACACATGTACATGTATCTACACATACATATATATATGAATATGCCTAGAAAATGTTATTAACAGCAATTATCTCTGGGGAATAGTTTTGGTGGGGGGGACTTCCATTTTATAATTTATAAATTTCTGTAATTTTACAAAAGATCATTAATTCACTTATAGGATAATTGCTACATTTAAAAAAGATGGATAAAAACATTAATTCATTGTAAAAAGTTTTTTTTATCAAAATAAGGTGAATAGGTGACCACATGGGGCCTTGATTCTTTCTGTTGTACTGTTGCAAACAATATGTCTCCATAATTAGAAATGTGTGCATATATAATCTCCCAGACTATTACAAAATACAGTCTTTATTTACCGAGATGAAAATCTTGGAACAAGGGTTAATACTTTACCTATATGAAACTTTAGTTGATAAGGTATAAAATTATGAACAACAATTTTTTGAAAACTACATTTCAAAATGTATAATGTAAAAGTAGATTTAAACATTTAAACTAATGGTAGAATTTGATTTTAATTTTTTTTTAAGAGTCAAATTCACTCTGCTGCACACAGCAGGATCTAGAGGAATTATCAGTGGGCCTGAGATGGGTAAAATCCTCAGTGTGGTAGGGAGGGGAGGTGCCTCCTGACCACGCCCTCAATGAGCATTATGCAGATTAGAAAGAGCCAAACAGGCTCTGATTTCCCCCAAGGATTGATGAACAAGTACAAAATAATAGGAAGTGACAGGAAACAGATGACTGAGGTCTAATTTAATGTCATTTGTAGAGACAATATACCTTAAATTGGTCTTTAGAAATTACAGGTTACAAATAAGATAACAGAAATGTGTTTTTATCATTTTAATTCACTAATACAAGTTTCTTTGTCAAGGGAAAGAGATTATTTGTTCTATAATACAGATAAATTTCAAATATATGTTAATTTAGGGTAATTTATGCTTCTTACCTTCAATAATTTAACTAACATAAGAAATAAATTACTATAAAAACTTCCATAATTAAATATAAAGGTGAAACTTAATATTTTTATATATTTAATATTTTAAAATATTCATGTCATATAAATCTAAGCAGGACATTTTAATAGTTACATATTAAACTGATGTGTATATATAAATACAAGTGAGTTATTTCATCAAATCTATGTCTAAACTGGGTGAGAAGTCCCACATTTTAAAAATTAAACTTATCTAAAGCAAATTCAAACATGTGTGAACAACTAAAATAGAAATTTCTTAGAAGTGCAGTGGCTCACACCTGTAGTCTCAGCAACTCGGAAGGCTGAGGCAGGAGGATCCCTTGAGCACAGGAGATTGAGGCTTGCCTGGGCAACATAGTGAGACCCAGTTCTCTAAAAATAAAATAAAATAAATAATTCATAAATAAATACATTTTAAAAATAAGAAATTTCTGTTGAAAACTAATATAATGAGAGGTTATGACATGTGTATGTGTAGATAAGATACACATGCATGATATAGGTGTTTATGTCATGTGTATATCTATTTACAAAATCTCCAGTTAACCAAAATTGTAAATCTTTTGTTAGCCACCACTTAAAACTTGTCAGCTACTTCTCTGCCTAAAAATGGAGGCAGCAGGCCTGGCGCGGTAGCTCATGCCTGTAATCCTAGCACTTTGGGAGGCCAAGGTGGGCAGATCATGAGGTCAGGAGATTGAGACCATCCTGGCCAACATGGTGAAACCCCATCTCTACTAAAATACAAAAAATTAGCCGGGCATGGTGGTGTGCGCCTATAGTCCTAGCTACTCGGGAGCCTGAGGCAGGAGAATCATTTGAACCCGGGAGGCAGAGGTTGCAGTGAGCCAAGATTGTGCCACTGCACTCCAGCCTGGTGACAGAGCAAGACTCCATCTAAAAAAAAAAAAAAATGGAGGCAGCAGGAATCCTTTTAAATTGGGCCTTTTTCCTTCTAAAAAGAAGCTCTTGAGTGGCCTTTGTTAGTTTCATAAACATAAAAGAAAAATGCAGTTAATGCTCTGGGGAAAGAGTGTCACAGATTCTTATTTATGGCTGCCCATCTCATACCTCTGCCATGCAGAGCCAAGGAGCATTTAGGGCAGAATGTGATGGAGTTCCTGCCCTCTTCCCTTTAGAGCAATTAGAGCTGTTAGTACAGCTTCACTAATGCAATGAGATGGTCCCCACTGAGGTGTGTTAATAGGAAAGGACACCAAGAAACTTCAAAAGGGAGAATCCCAGAGAAACACTGGAATTCCTGCTAATCTGGGCAGAAAGGGGTTGCAACTATTAATATGAATATTAACGTTATTTTCCCCTAGTGGCAAGGGATCATAGAAAATGGGCATGATAGACATGGGTAGACAGATAGAGGATTAGATATACACAGAAATTTCCTAATGCTTACGAATTGGAATTTATAATACATACATACAAAAACTTTGAGGTAAATTTATGCTGTAAAAGCTTATAGCAGTTGAATTCACCTTTCAGAATCCATGAAGGTGCTGAGATACTACTCTGCACTCTTGAGCAGAACTTTGACTTGTTCAGCTGAAGTGGCAAACATTTGCAAAAGGGGCAGATCTACACTGTAGAATCCAAACTACTTAAGAAACCTTACCCGGCCATTTAGCCCACTGCAGACCTCAATTCTACTGAAATGACAAGCAGATGTCATAAAATCAAACTAGAGATTTTTGTCCCAGATCAGCTATGGCATCTGGATGTCATAATCTCAAGGCAGGTGCTTCATAGTTCATGCACAGAAACCACCTCCAGCCATCCCAATGCTTACCTCATAGATAAGCCCAGACAGTACTAGTTACTCAGGGTCTTAGCTTTCCCCATACAAGACAGAGATGGTCTGTGGCCTTCAATTTTAAAAGATCTCCCTCATTTTCCCACCTCTGAACCTCATGCTGAAGCCTAGATTCTGTGCTGACTGGGTTTCTTGCTTTTACTCTCAAAATAGCCAGAGTAGTCTACAAAGCATAAATCAGTTCCTCTCATCCCTCAATGTTTGGTTTCTAAATCTTTATTTTAAAAATTAATTCTACATGTGAACTTTACTTCAATAAATATGTTTATTAATTAACATAGATTGTATTTCTCTTAGAAACAACATTACAAATGGGGTGAAAAGGGCAATAAAGAAGGATCCTCCCTGCTGGGGTAAATCACTCCCCCTCCTCTACATTAAGCCTACAACAGGGAGAGGGAGATGATAGAAAAGGGAGGTAAGAGGCACACTCAACTTTTAACATTTCACAGAAGTGTCAAAAGCAAGCTGTCATTTCACAAAGATAAATTATGGGAAGAAGCAGGTGCAATGTCTTTACTTTTGGTCTGTGCTGATTTGCATATTTGAAAATAGGTAAGTCTATTTGTAAGTATATACAAATTTTTATGTATAATCTGAACTATATGGACTTCAAAGTGATTTTAAGTCAATTTTTTAAAAAACTAAGTTTTTAGATACTCTGATCTGGAGGACTATAAACAACTCCGGTCGATTTTGAAAAGCTGTCATAGTAAGTTAAATCACAAATGGGTCAAGTATATATGTATACAAAGGAAGAGCACAAACTAGTCCATATTATCCATCTATAAGTTAGACATAAAATAGAAAACTAGAAGCACCTCTGTAAGAAAAGATCCAAATGTTATCACTGGAAACTATCTTCTACAGAAAAACTATGTACTTCTATATGTGCCATCCCATTGTTTATCCACTGAAACTATTCTGTTTCAGGCAAGGATATACTCAACTCAAAGGGGAATTAATTACTGAAAGACAGGATATTTTAAAAATAAGAAGTAGTAAAACACATATTATTATAAATGATACAACATTTAATCCCACATGCATGCTAATAAGATTTTCTTTCTAAATTTAACAAAAGTCACTAAAGTAATATCTCTTCATTTTTATAGAATTGTCAGAGAAGTAATATGCAAGTGGAATTCAACTGAAAAAATAGATTTTTTCATAATGTGTACTCTATATCTCTGCCCATGTCTCCCAACAAAGATAGTGTGTCCAATCTGTTTTGGCTATTGGCTATTGTTTGAAAATCTATGCTATATATTTCAAAGAAATATCAGCATTACAAAATGCAGAAATATCTCCTCTCTAAAATATGTACCCACTAAGTGGAGAAAACCTTTTTTCCTAAATTTTTATCTTTTACTTTTTATCTTTTGTCATTTGCTTTAAGAAAAAAAAAAGTCGTAATATAAATATTTCCAAAGCAGAAAATATAATTACAGATTTTTTTAATTAATGAGAACATTGAAAAAGAAGAGAAAATATTTCTAATGTGTACTGAAGTTCTCACAAAAGCCAAAACACTAGAAAACTAATGCAATTGATAATACACATTGGTATAAAATACAAGATATTGTCATCATCATTCTTCTCAAAAGCTTTTCTCTTGATACTCTAAGAATAAATGTTTATAGGGAAAAAATTAAAGCAATCACTTCCTTTTCAAATCCAACTTTCTATGTTTCCAATTTCAAGTCACTACTTAAATGTAACAAAAGATTCTGTTTTCCTTAAAGAGACATTCACTTTTTTAAAGCTATTATCATTAGAATGCTGCCTTGATTTTTATTTTCCCTGACATCAGGTTATTTGGGTTACATTTATTGCCCAGTGTCCAATGACATTTGCAGAGAGCTTCCAGAACTAAATTTTATCTTTTATGACATCAGCATAAATATACTTTTATAAAAGAAAAAAAGGGTCATAATAAAATGTAACAGCTAAATGTCAAACAGATGATAAGTTGGAGAGGATTAAAAACTCAGTGTCTAACTCTAAGTAACGTTAATATTTCAAACCTATATTCTAACTTTTAACTTGAAGCTTTCTACCTTCATTCTTCCTCCCTCACTCCCATTAACTAGTATATTAGTTGTGTACCAAAACTGGAAAAATCCCAATATTATGACAAGGTCCTAATTTTTAGTAAAATTTGGTGGGTAGATATGTAATTTTGCTGAAATTAGATGGCAGAGCATTCTGAGCATATGAGGTGCTGCTTTAAAGTAATGAGGCTGATTCTCATGCATGGCTTGAAGAAACAGTGAAGGAGTGATCATAGCAAGGACAAGTTTAAACAAGCTTTGACCTGGAAGAACGGAGCTCCGAAGGCTGGCCAGCCCATGCCTGAGTTGGTGCTAAAGAAGCACACACACTCTCACATACATACACACACACACAGCCCACATTACAAAGCAAACAATTTAGAGCACAAAACAATTTACAGTTAAAAAAAAAAGTAAAAATTTTAGAATAAATTTAGATTTTTAACAAATGTATCTGCAAAATAGTACATGACCTGTAAAAAGAAGCTGGAGGGGATAAAGTTATGTCAAAAACAAGATTTTTTTTAACTGATCTCAAAAATTTCATTAAGAAAATAAGACTCACTCTCACAATACTTCAACCTAGCTTGAGTATCAGAATCAACTCTAGAGCATTTTCAATAAACTAGCCCCCTGGTCCTGCCCAGGTCTGCTGAATATAAACATGAGCAGAGGCGGGACCTATGTGATTCTGATGCTGTCAGGCTTAGAAACCCCTTACTGTAAGACAGAAAATGTTGAAGATATGATATTTAGTGCATTCAAATAAATAATTGAAAGAAAGATGACCAAAGAGTTAAATTTAGTCAAAGAATTAGACTTATTCTAAAAGAAATCTTGAAAAGGGTTTTCATTCTTTCACTGGTTTATCAACAAATATACCAACTAAGGACAAGGCACTGTGCTCGACAAAGGTGGCAGGCAGTGATTGGATATGAGCAGAGAATGATGATATGATGATGGTAATAATAGCTAATATTTATTGTTTTCTATAAGCCAGGCACCATATAAGCACATATAAATTTTACCATTTTTAGGTATTATCTCATTTTTAAGTGTTTACAGGTATAATCTCACAACAATCCTATTATTAACCTCATTTTACAGATAAGAAACCTGAAAACAGGGGTTAGTTAACTTGCCTAAGACCTCAGAGCTGGTTAAACACGAAAGCCTGGACTTGACCTGAAGCAATCTGACTCCAGCCCCCACACCTGAAACAGTACAGGATACTGGATTGGCCAGAAAATTTTTTAAAATTACTCTGAAGATACGCCATGAATTTCATGTGAACAGAAAAAGAGAAGATTTAATAACAATAACCCTATATTCTAGGAAGTCCATGTCAAAATCACCAGTGAAGATAATTTTATTTCTTTGACACAAATGACATTCTTATAAAATTCATACCACAAAATAAAACACTCAATAAGGATTATCATGTACAATTCCTGAAGCATTTAGAAGAATCTTTGAAACGTGTAATGGGCAATATTTATCTAGGAATTAGGTCCTAATGAAAATACGCAGCTTCATAATATATTCTTGATGAAACTATTTTTGATACTTAATACTAAATGTTTCACCAAATTTAACAAAAATTACTTTTTGAATTTCCAAAAATTTAAATTCACACTGCAAAGATGTAAACATCATCACTGACAATATTCAAAAGAATGCAATTAAGGTAAATCCAAAATGGTTTTGAGCAAGGCAGTATTGCTAAAATAACCTCACAAGATTGAAGTCTGCTTACTGTACTCAGGCTGTGTAATTTCTGATTTATGTTTGTTTTTAAAAATCAGATGCATTATGTTATATTTACACTTTATATTTTGTATTAAAATTTTATGTAAGACAAATCAACTTTTTAAAAATTCAACATGTCTGATTTTACAATTGATGTTAAAAACCAATTTTGAATGTGCAAAGTACCATTTGAACAAGAAGACTCTATTAGTCAGCTTGAGCTACCATAAGAAAATTCCATCGACTGGATAGCTTAAACAACAGCAATTTATTTTCTCATAGTTCTGGAGGCTGAAATCCAAGATCAGAGTGCGAGTATGGTCAAGTTCTTTCGAGGGGTCTCTTCCTGGGTTGCAAACAACTGCCTTTCTGCTGTGTCCTCACATGGTATAAAGAGAAAGACAGATCTCTGGTGCCTCTTCTGATAAGGACACTATTCCTACTGGATCAAGGGCCTACTCTTATGACTTCATTTAACCTTAATTACTTCCATAAAGGCCCTACTTCCAAATATAGTGGCATTTGGGGTAAGGGCTTCAATCAGAGAATCTAGGGGGAACACAAAGTCCATAATATTCCATATGTGGAATATTAATTCATGTCCTTCTTGCATGCGAAACACACTTATTTCACTCTAATTGTCCCAAAAGTCTTCACTCATTCTACCATCAATTCTAAAGTCTAGAGTCTCAAGTAAATATCATCTAAATCAGATATGGGTCAGACCCAAGGTATAATTCAACCTGAGGCAAAATTCCTCTCCAGCTGTAAACTTGTGAAACTAGACAAGTTATATGCTTCCAAAATACAATAATGGACAGGCATAGGATAAAGTTTCCATTCCAAAGGAAGAAATCAGAAGGAAGTGGTGACATGTCCCAAACAAGTCAAAAACCTAGCAATGAAAATTCTATTAGATCTTAATAATCTTCTTTGATTCAATACTCTGCCTTCCAGGCCCACTGGGGTGGTAGTGACCTTCCCCTTTTGTCTCTCCGCCCCATCCACATGGTTCTGGTGGATCCTGGTCCTGCCCTTTGAAAGATAAAAGGCAGGATATCTGACAGCCTTCCTTCATTCTGTCCCACTTTCTCTGTTCCCTTTAGTTCAAACTGGTAGTATCTCTGCTGGCATAACCCCATCTCCATTCCTGGTCTCTGCTGAGATAGCTAATTAAGTTTATGAATCACACCCATGATCTCTTTATCAAAGGGTTGCTCAGCCACACCTTTAGTGTTCTCTTTAGAACAAGCTTCCTCATTTTTTGCAATATGGATAGGCTAAGAATTTTCTAAATCTTTAAGCTCTGGGTCCTTTTTGCTTAACAATTCTTTCAATTCATCTCTCTCCTTTCACATTTTATTATAAGTAGTCAGAAGCAATCAAGAGGCTCTCCCAACACTTTGCTAAGCAATCTCCTCAGCTGAAAATCCAATTTCATCACTTGTAAGTTCTACCTTCTGCGAAACACTAGAACACAATTCAACCAAGTTCTTTGCCACTTTATAAGGATTACCTTTCCTCTAGTTTTTTGTTTTGTTTTTTGTTTTTTGTTATTTTTGAAACAAAGTCTCACTCTGTCACCCAGGCTTGGGTGCAGTGGTGTGATGTCGGCTCACTGCAACCTCTGCCTCCCAGGTTCAAGTGATTCTCCTGCCTCAGCCTCCTAAGTAGCTGGGATTACAGGCATGCACCACCAGGTCCAGCTAATTTTTTGTATTTTTAGTGAAGACACAGTTTCACCATGTTGCCCAGGCTGATCTAGAACTCCTGAGTTCAGGTGATCCACCCACCTCAGCCTCCCAAAGTGCTAGGATTACAGAGTGAGCCACCACGCCTGGCCTCCTCTAGTTTCTAATAACATCTTGCTTATTTCCACTGAAACCTCACCAGAATTACTCTTAACATACATATTTCCAGCATCACCTCAAAACTCTTCCAGTCTGTACCTATCACTCAGTTCCAAAGCCACTTCCACATGTCTAGGTATTTGTTACAGCAATATTCCATATCTTGGTAACAAAATCTGTCTTAGTCAGCTCAGGCTGCTATAACAAGCTACCATAGGCTGGGTGATTTAAACAGGGAAATTTATTTTCTCAGAGCTCTGGAAGCTGGAAGCTTAAGATCAGGGTGTTAGTATGGTCAGGTTCTGGTGAGGAGTCTCTGAGGGCTCTCTTCTGGCTCGAAGATGGCTGTCTTCTGGCAGTGTTCTCATATGGCAGAGAGAGAGTGTATGCTCTCTGGTGTCTTGCCTAGTAATTCTATTGGATCAGGGCCCTACCCTTATGACCTCATTTAACATTAACTACTCTATAAAGGCCCTATTCCCAAATATAGTCACATCAGGGGGATAGGACTTCAATATATAAATTTCGGGAAGACATAAATATTTGGCCCATTGCAAAGAGATTTTTGTTAATTAACAGATATATTTATAATGTTTAACCTTGAAAGTAATATAATTCGTGCTAATAAAAACAATAAACTATGTATATATTGAAATATCAAACATTAAAATATTATACATGATTCTGAAATAGTTACATTGGTACAATCATTTTGAAAGACTTACCAAGAGTTTAATACAGTCACCAACTTAGACTCAATAATTTTCAATTTGAACATTATCCTGAATAAATAATTGCAAAGAAATTGATTTCAGGAAAAGAAAACAATGATGTAATTATATTACAATAGGAGAATGGTTATTATGTACAATAGCACATATCCATAGTTGATCTCTTTAGCATTGCTCAGACATATCATTAACTATTATTTGATAAATAAGTCACAAAGGGTATGTATGTATGTATTTATGTATGTATGCATATGTGGGAAAATGAGGAGAAATGAGAATCTTATAAATTGCTGGTGAAAGTGTTAACTAATACAATAGCCATATAATGTAAACAGACAATAGCCCACAATGATATGCATACTGCATACTTTTTTCATACTAATTTTACTTCTAGATATATACCCTGGAGAAATTTTAATACATGCACGTGAGTTTTACATAAAGTACACAAATATTTGTAGGAGCATTGTTTGTTACAGTAAAATTTGGAAAGACACTAAATGTCTGTCAACAAGTAATAAGTAGACTGTAGTATGTTCATACAATAAAATGAATAAATTACTGTGTGGAAGTTAAAAGTCAATGCATAACATCTTTATATTTCAGCATAAATATGTCTCATAAATATAATGTTGCAAGTGCAGAGTGACATGTATAGTATATCATTTATATAAAGTACAAAAAAGGCAAAACACATATATATGTAATATATACATATAAATATGAACGTATATGCTTTAATATACACATATGCATATATACATATGATTGGTTTGGCTGTGTCCCCACCAAATCTCAACTTGAATTGTATCTCCAAGATACAATCCCACATGTTGTGGGAAGGACCTAGGGTAGGGGGAGGTCATTGAATCATGGGGGCCGGTCTTTCCCATGCTAGTCTCATGATAGTGAATAAGTCTCATGAGATCTGATGGGTTTATCAGGGGTTTCTGCTTTTGCTTCTTCCTCATTGTCTCTTGCTGCCACCATGTAAGAAGTGCCTTTAGCCTTCCTTCATGATTCTGAGGCCTCCCCAGACATGTGAAACTGTAAGTTCAATTAAAACTCTTTTTCTTCCCAGTCTCAGGTATGTCTTTATCAGCAGCACAAAAACAGACTAATACAACATATATGTAAATATATACATATACATATATATATAAGGACATCCTGGTCAATAAATGGTGCTGGGATAACTAGCAAGCCACATGTAGAAGAGTAAAACTGGGTCCACATCTCCCACCTTATACAAAACTCAACTCAAGATGGATCAACGATCAAAATCTATGACCTGAAACCATAAAAATTCTAGAAGATAACATCAGAAAAACTCTTCTAGACATTGATATGGGCAAAGAATTCATGACTAAGAACCCAAAAGCAAATGCAAAAATAAATAAATAAATAGGATCTAATTAAACTAAAAAGCTTCTACACAGCAAAAGAAACTATCAGCAGAGTAAACAGACAACCCACAGAGTAGGAGAAAATATTTGCAAACTATGCAGCAGACAAAAAACTAATATCCAGAATCTACATGGAACTCAAACAAATCAGCAAGAAAAACACAAATAATCCCATCAAAGGGTGGGAAAAGGACATAAATAGACAATTCTCAAAGGAAGATATACAAACAGCCAGCAAACATATGAAGAAAATGCTCAACATCAGTAATTATCAGGGAAATGCAAATTAGAACCACAATGAGACACCACCTTACTCCTGCAAGAATGGCCATAATTTAAAAATCAAAAAATAATAGATGTTAGCATGGATGTGGCAAAAAGAGATGTACCACTCTGCTGGTGGTAATGTAAACTAGTACAATGACTATGGAAAACAGTATGGAGATTTCTTAAAGAACTGAAAGTATAAAACTACCATTTTATCCAGCAATCCCACTACTAGGAATCTACCAAAAAGGAAAAGAAGTCACTACGTGAAAAAGACACATGCACATGCATGCTTATAGCAGCACAAGTCACAATTGCAAAAATATGGAACAAGCCTAAATGCCCATCAATCAACAAGTGGCTAAAGAAAATGTGGCATATATACATCATGGAATACTACTCAGCCATAAAATGGAATGAAATAATGGCCTTTGCAGCAACTTGAATGGAGCTGGAGGTCATTATTCTAAGTGAAGTAACTCAGGAACATACAATATCCAGAAAACTAAATATTTTACATTCCCACTTATAAGTGGGAGCTAAGCTATGAGGAGGCAAAGGCATAACAATGATATAATGGACTTTGGGGACATGGGGGAAAGTTGGGGGGGAGTGAAGGTTAAAAGACTACATATTGGGTACAGCATAAACTGCTCAGGTGACAGGTGCATCAAAATCTCAGAAATCACCACTCAAGAACTTATCCATGTAACCAAAAGCTACCTTTTCCCCAAAAAACTATTAAAATAAAATAAAAGAATAACAATATATACATATAAATATGTAAATATGTGTTATATATACATATGCATACATGCTAATATGTACATATACATATATGTAATATATATAATATAAAATATGACTGGAGATTCAGATAATGGTTACCTCTAGAGAGGAAGCACAGGGAAGAAAAATTATATATATATATCTAGGTAGATATATATCTATATCTACCTAGATACATATAGATATAGATATGCTTTATTTCCTGAAAAAAAAATCTGAAGAAAGGATTTGATCGAGTTGGATTTGGCTTACAGAAATGTTTACCCAATCTTTCGTGTCTGGAGTATTTCATTATTTTGAAATAAGGAAAACAAAGAAGTACATTCCTATTCCATATAGGAGAACAGGAAACACAGAGCTAGGAAGGAGTATGGTATGGTTATTGAACAGTGATAATATTAGCTTGACTTAAGAACAGATTCTAGTATTAAGGAATGAAGAGAAATAAATATGAACTGATAGGAGAATCTTGATGATGTAATACTTAAGGAACCACGCTGAGGAATGTAAGAGGAAAGATAGTATTTGTATTTGGAATATAATTTTCTCTTATATTTGGAATTTTGAAACTATAATGACTTAATTCCAGGCAAGCTGCTGTATCTGCAGCTTTCTTCTCTAATGGCTTCTTGCAGAACTGAAGGTGACTCATGTCCTAGTTCAGCCTGGTGGCTATCACAGAAACAAACCAAAATAAAGTACCCAGAAAAAAGGACTGGAAAAAAAATAAAATAAAATAAATGGCAAACTAATATTGTGTAACTAGAGTCCAGAAAAATAAGAAAGAGGGTTAGGAATAGAAAAAGTATTTTAAGACATAAAGGCCAAAAATATAACAAAAATTAGAGCCACACATATCCAAAAAATTCAACAAACTGTAAGAAGGTAAACCCCCGAATAAAAACACAAAAGACACTTCATGATCAAACTGCCAAAAAAAAAAGTGATCAATATAAATTCTTAAAAGCAATAAAAGAAAAAGTCATTACATAAAGATGTACTAAGGTAAGAATACTATCCAATGTTACATCAGAAACTTGTGATGAATAGAACAACATCTTTAAAGTCTGGGGAAGAAAATCTACTGACTTATTCCAAACTCAATGAGAAGGAAGGAAGATCTCAAAAAAGCAAGATCTCATCTCTAAAAAAAAAAAAAAAAGAAAGTTTTAACAAAAGACATTAAAAGAAGTTCTTCAGGCAAAAGGAAGACAACCTAAGAGGACGCTTGGATTTATTAAGGAATAAAGACTATCAAAACCCATAAGTATGTGGGTGAAGAAAAAGACATTTTTTCTCATTTTTAAATCTCTTTTAAAATTTTCTGTTTATATAGGAATACAAGATTTTCTGGGGAAAATAACAGATAAAAATAAAATAGACGACAACAGTGGCACAAAGAATAGGAAGGATAAATAAAAACATATGTTTCTTACATTATAATGAATAAGTATTATTCAAAGATGGAGTATAAAAAGCTAAATATATAAACAAAACATCCTAGAGCAACTACACATACACTCATGCATACAAAGCAAGCCAAAAAGATATAGCTAATAAGCTTATGGTAGCTGTGTTAGGCCATTTTTGCATTGCTATAAAGGAATGACAGAGGTTGGATAGTATATAAAGAAAAGAGGTTTTATTGGCTCACAGTTCTGTAGACTGTACAAGCATGGCTCCAGCATCTGCCTCTGGTGAGGGCCTTTGGAAGCTCATAATCATGGTAGAAAGTGAAGGAAGAGTCAACACATCAAATGGTAAGAGGAGGAGCAAGAGAGAAGGGGGAAGTTCCAGGCTTTTTTAAACAACCAGGTCTCACGTGAACCAACTGAGCAAGGGGATGGTGCTAAACCATTCAGGAGGGATTTACCCCCATGATCTAATCACCTTCCACCAGGCCCCACTTCCAACAGTGGGAATCACATTTCAACATGACACTTGGGGGGAAAAAAATACTAACTATTTCAGTAGCAATGAAGTGACCACAAAGAAACTTATTTTATCCAAAATAAAGCAGTTTAAAAAGATAAAATGATAAACAAATGAGACAAATAAAACACAAATGACAAGATAAAATAATTAAACCCAGTCATATTAATAATTATATTAAATGTAAATGGTCTAAACATCCCAATTAAAAGAAATTTTCAGAATGGAGAAAATAGCAAGGCCCAAAATATTATTTCTACAAGACAGAATATAAAGATATAGGTAAGTTAAAATTAAAGGATAGAAAAGTAAAAGGACATTATTTTATAATAACATTTGTGAAAAGAAAATTGGAGTAGCTTTATTAAAATAAAACAAAATGGACTTCAGAACAAAGAATATTACCAGGAATAAAGAGGAACATTTCATAAGGATTTTTAAGTTAATTTATCAATAAAATATAGCAATCTTAAAATAATACAAACCCAATAACAGCACTTCAAAATATATTTAGAAAACATTGTTAGAACTGAAAGGAGGAATAGACAAATCCAAAGTTACAACAAGAATAACAGAAGATGTGAAAAACTCTATCAACTAGCTTGAACAAACTGACATTGAAGAACACTCAAATCAATAAGACAGAACAAACATGGAACATTAATTTGGATATATTTTGAGCCATAAAGTAAATCTCAAAAATTTTCAAAGGATTAAAATTATACATAGTATGTTATCTGACCACAATGGAAACTAGAAACCAATTACAGAAAGATATACAGAAACCCAAAAATAATGGCAAATTAAACAACATATTTCTAAATAACAGATGTGAAAATCACAAGAAAAACTTTAAAGTCTTTTGAATTAAAGAAAAATGAAAACAGCGTACTGAAATTTGTTAGGCATAGCAAAAGCAGGGCTTTGAGGGAAATTTATAGCATTAAATGCTTACAATAGAAAAGTAGAAAGGTCTAAATCAATTATCTAAGCTTTTGCTTTATGAAACTAGAAAAAGAAATATCAATTAAACCCTACATAAGCAGAAGTAAGGAATTAATGAAGCATAAAATCAATGAAATAAATAGCAGACCAAAAATAGAAAATCAATTAGATGAAAAGCCATTTCTTGGAAAATATCAATAAAATTAATCAACTCAGCTAGACGAGTTAAGTAAAAAATGAGAGGTTAGAAATTGCCAATATAAGGAATTAAAAAGCAAATTCTATAGACTTCAAATGAATGATAATAAATATTATAAACATCTTTATGTCAACAAATTTTCAATTTAGGTTAAGTGAACAAATTCCTTCAAAGATCATTAAACTACTAAAGATCAAAAATAATTATGTAACATAAATAGCTACATGTTGAACATAAAGATAGGAACATGGAGGAATACTGGAAGGGGGAAAGAGAGAGAAGGGCTGAAAAACTACTTATTGAGTAGTATGCTCACTACCTGGGTGATGGGATCATTTGTACCCCAAACCACAGAATATAGCCATATAACAGACCTGTACATATACCCTGCCAAATGTAAAATAAAAGTTGAAATAATATAAGAGTAAACAAATAAATAACTATATGTCTACTAAAAAAAATTTAATTCATAATTTAAAACCTACCTGTAAACAAAACTCCAGGCCCAGATGGTTTTACTAATGAATTTCACCAAATACTTAAGAAATAATAGAGGTGGCAAACAAACTTGGAAAATAGAAGAGGAAGAAATACATCTCAACTCATTTGATGAAGCCAGCATTACCCTAATACCAAAATCAGACAAAGATATTAAAAGAAAAATAAACTATGGGCCAATGCCCCTCAAGATCAGAGATATAAAAATCACTAATAGCATTTAATAAATCAATTCAAGTAACATATATAAGGAGGATAATACATAATATATATGTAAATACTACATGAACAAGTAATGTTTATCTCAGAAACATAAGGTTTAACACTTGAAAATGAATCAACGTAATTCACTATATTAACAGTAAAAATATGTATATGAAAATCTCAATTATTGGAGTAAAAAGTATTTGAAAAAATATGTTATCTAAATTATGACCTGAATAATCAGACATGAGACCCACAAATTCTCACACAGTCCCCAGGAAACAAAAAGGTAGCAAAGTTGTAAGCCAGAAAGGCCTCAGATATTAAGGGCCAATGACCAATTGGCATTTATATCTAGAATGAAAGGATGGCGCAGCATAAGGAAATAAATGAATGTAATTCTCCACATTAACAAAATGAAGACTAGAAAACACAATGATGATCTGAATTGGTGCAGAAAAAGCATTTGGCAAAATTCAATACACTTTATGATAAAAACACTCCAACAAAGTAGAGATGGATGAAAATAAAAGCCATATATGAAAAGTCCACAGTTAACATCATATTCAACAGTAAAAGACTGAAAGCTTTTCCTCTAAAATCAAAAACAAGAAAAGGATGCCCACTCTCACCACTACTATTTAATATAGTACTTAAAGTCCTAGCCAGAACAGTTAGACAAGAAGAAATAAAAGGCATTCAAATTTGGAAGGAAGAAGTAAAATTATCTCTGTTCACAGATGAGATTATTTTACATATAGAAAACCCTAAAAATTCCACACAAAAATCTTTTACAACTAATAATTTCAGCAAAGTTGCAGGATACAAAATTAACGCACAAAAATCGGTTGCATTTCTATATACTAAGAATGAGAAATCAAAAAGGAAATTAAGAAAACAATGTAAATATACTTAACACTACTGCATTGTACACTTAAAAAATGGGTAAATGGGTGAATGTAATGCTGTATGTTTTTTTACAATAAAAAATAGTCATAAAAAATATTAAGGGCCAAAAAGAAAAAAATAGAAAAAAAAAGAAAAAATATATTAAGGGACAAAATGCCTACAATTACTACACTGCAGAGGCTGAGGGGTGGTTCACGCAGGCCAAGAGCAAGATGGAAAAATGCGGTACTAACTCAGCAACAGTCAAGCTAAGACTGCAGTGTCCAGGGTGCACTCCCATCCACCCAGAGAGCATCCAGCATCAGCTACTGACCTCAGCAACAGACAAGACCAATCATCTCTGCAGTCAGACACCATCTGTCTCAAAGGACCACCTTTCTCTCCCTTGAACCATGATGACTCCAGAATATTTTACTCACATGCTATCTCAAAGAATTTAGAAAACTGGGTAACCTTTACTTAGAAAACTATGTACCAACATTTTAAGTTGACATTTAAAATTTTTTATCATTAGCTTAAAAACAGTTACAAAGTATGTAATTTCTGGCATGTTATAAATATTGTCATTACCAAAGAAAACTGTTAAATTGGTTTTTAAAATCTATCCGGTGAGGTGAAATACCAGAGCAGTTTTACATCAATAATTATCCATTTTTTTTAATAAAACATGAAAAAAACTCTTCTTTAACATTCAGGAAGTTATGAAATTTTTTTGTTTTTGTTTTTTTGAGACAGGGTCTTGCTCTGTTGCCCAGGCTGGAATGCAGTGGCACAATCACACCTCACTGCAGCCTCGACCTCCAAGGCCCAGGCAATCCTCCCACCTCAGCCTCCCAAATAGCTGGTACCACAAGCATGCATGCACCATCACATCTGGCTAAATTTTTTATTTTTGTAGAGATGGTGTCTCCCTATGTTGCCCAGGATGGTCCCGAAATCCTGGGCTTAAGCAATCCCCCTGCCTCTGCCTCCCAAAGTGCTAAGACAATCAGAAAGCTTACATCCTTCCTTTTTCTCCTCAACTTTGTATTTCTATCCCACTTCTTCCTTAACAGAAATACATATATAACAGCAAGGAAAGATTTGGAGCCCTATCACAAGTTTATGACACTAATATTTTCAAAGTGTCCCTTTGTTTGGTGCCTGGAGGTTTTTACACCACAAGGTGATATGCCAGAATAGACTCAGGATGAGGAAGAGGTGTGCTTTGCCTTTTTAAAGGGTGAATGGAAAATGGGAAAAGAGAAAAGAGACGGCATTCCCTCACACTGCAGGCACATTCTCAAGCAGAATCATTTTAGTAAAAAGTGCATATAGGAGTTGGGAATCTGGACATTTATTCTCTTAAAATCACTGTACATCTCCTGCTCTTTGTATACCTTCAGGGGAACAACCCCAATTGTTACTTAATAAGCCCTTCTCCTCCATAAACACAGATGACTTCTTGGAGGGAACACAAAAAAAAATGGCAGAAAGATGAACATCTGAGCATCTTTATTCAAAAGGCTGAGCGTTGCCTAAATAAGCTGGTTAAATTATTTGGTCTGAATCAAATTTAGTTTTACTTTTCTCCCACCACCATGTGTGAAAGATAAAATAAGATTTAAACAAAATAAGGAAAACACTTCTTGGCATGTCTTGTATGCTGTGAGTGGATTTGCTCTCCTGCAGTGTGTATCTTCTTCCTAAAGTAAACTCTAGCATATGCTTTCCAAACTCAATGACTTGCTTTCCCCATCCACACTATCCAACCACGTTAGGATCTCAGATCCTGAGACTGAGGAAGGTCTTCTGACCTTAGTCTTACATTCAAAATAGGCCACAAATTTAGCCTTTTTCATTATCTGCAAATAAAGTTACACATACAATCAAGAAGTTACACATACAGTGACAGGATACTCTGGAGAAGACAGTCATTTTGAAATATCTGTCCCATCACCAGATCATGCCCCCAACATGGGTTATGAATTAATATTTTTTAGAAATCTTTTAATTATCATGTAAATAGAACAATTATATCATACTGTGCTTTTTGTTAATAGAGTTAATTTTAAGGTTAATCATCTAAAATATACTTAACAGTTTTAAAATCCTGTTTTGGCATTTCTTCATTATTTAATATGCTGTGAACTTTAAAAAAATATAACCACTCTCAGCCTCTGAGAGGTCCTATCTATACCCACTGCCCTTAATTCTTTAACGCCAATTTTTTCTTTAATCCTATTCACTCTAAGTTTTCATTATCTTCCAAAGGCCGCTGATATCCTTTTTTAAAAATCACATATAACCTGCTTGAAATCTTGTTCACTCCTGACTTCATGCCACTGCCTATCTCAATCTCCTTTTCAAACTCTGCCCATACTTCAGTTAATAAAACATGCCTTACATTTGCTAATGAAGATAGGCTTTAGTGCCATTACAACTCTATCTTGCTGTCTCACCTTAGACAAGGACCTTACTGCCATTGGTGTTAATTACTTTATAATATTAATAATAAAGATGCTGGTGATGATAGCTAATCCCCAGTGAGCACTTACTAGGTTCCAGGTACTGTTTTAAGAATCTTTGGTGGCTCATGCCTGTAATCCCAGCACTTTGAGAAGCTGAGGTGGGCAGATCATCTGAGGTAAGGAGTTCGAGACCAGCCTGGCCAATATGGTGAAAACCCATCTCTACTAAAATACAAAAATTAGCCGGGCATGGTGGCATGTGCCTGTAACGCCAGCTACTCGGGAGGCTGAAGCAGGAGAATGGCTTGAATCTGGGAGGTGGAGGTTGCAGTGAGCCAAGTTCGTGCCACTGCACTCCAGCCTGGGTGATACAGTGAGACTTCATCTCAAAAAAAAAAAAAAGAGTCTTATATACCTTATTTAATCTTCACAACAGCTCAATGAGGTAAGTATTATTGTCTTATTATCTATAAAATGAGAGGACTGGATTATGCAGCCTTTAAAATTCATTTCAACCTCACTTTCATTCTATTCATGCTAGTCTTTCTTTTAAGTTCCCATAATACATAGAATCTGTATCACATATTTTAGCACTTATTTTTATACTGATAAGCATATTTCCTAATAGCTTCACATGGGTATGCTTTGTCTCCAAAACAAGAAAGTTAGCTTCCTGAGGGTTAGGCCTTAGAGAATTCTCCTGTATTTTCAACACTGGTTAACACACAGACAGAGCACATATGTGGTACTCAACACTTCATCATTTGAGTTTGTCTTCTTTGGTTCTCTAATTACTTTTTGGGGGTGGGGAGGTACCCAAAAGATAAGGTTAAATCAGTGACTGGTAGAATTGTAGTCCCCAAAGATGCCACACTATATAGTTCACTTATAAGGATCTTAAGAGACACTGAAGGGCCTAAAGGTGTCCACCTGGTGGTTGGAAGGCAAACAGATTGTGAACTATATGTGTTTTGTTTTGTTTTCAAAATATTTGCTTTGTTTTGCTTTATGAGGACTGGAGCACCTTATCTACCCAACACCAAATTAGATCCTGATCATGTTAAAAGATTTGTCACCTTGTTAATCACAGAATGAGGAATCCAATGCCAGAAGTATAAATGGAGTATCTGACCGAATTTTTGCCTTCTAAAAAAGAATTGTCCAGTGGAATTTTCAGTGATGATGTAGCTATTGAGTAATCAAAATGTGGCTAGTGAGACTGAGGAACCCAATTTTCAATTTTATTTAATTTTAATTTAAAAACACAAGGGATAGTGTATTGTGCTGTACAGTTCTAAAAGATGTAACTCACCTGTGGTTTGCCAAGGCTGAAGCCCTTTCCAGCACCTTTTATTTATGCTGTAATTCTTTTCTCTAAAGCTTTCAACATTTACTTCCCAGTCACACATATTAAGTGTTGATAAATGAACTCTTGCCATATCCTTTTTCCATGCATGACTGGCTATGTTCAGAAACTTCAAATATTTTAGAAATGTAACAGGATACTGATTATTTTAGGGAGGTTATGTAAAATTGATTTTCTAACATAATTGAGAAAGTTTTATGAAAGAGAGCAATAAATTAATGTTACATTAATTCCCACCTTTTGCAACATATATAAAATAAGAGCAAAGAATGAATTTTATTATTTGAAAATCAGAAGTTTGTTGTAAGATTGATGTTTACTCGAACTAACGCTACTAACAAGAAGTGAGGAAGCCACTATATATGTCTCTGAATAAAATAAAGCAAAGCAATGATACCCAAGATGTTTACAATTGCTTTATCAATCATTAGTCAGACTTCTCAAGAACCAAAGATCTTAACTAGCAATCATTGACAACACTGATCCATTTGAATAGTAAATAGAAAATACTAGTCAATCCTTAAGAGAGTTGGTTTTCCTCCTACTAAGAATGTGTATTCAATACTGTTTTAGTTCTTCAAGGAAAAAAAATTCATATTCTTGTCCGTTCACACGAACCTCTCAGTGAGCATTATTGTTTTCGGAGGAGGGGGCAGGAGGCAGGGGGCCCAGGATGTTGACAGAACAGATAGGATGTCAGGTGAAGATAGAATGCTATGCCCTCTCTAACCAGCTGAAGACTCAGCATGATTGTTTTCTTACAAATAATACCTGTGGGTGTTGAAACTGTTCAGGGAATCTATCAAACACACTCTTTCACTTTGCTGCTGTAACTCTATAAAATTTATTCTCATTTCAAAAGAGTCATAGGCAATAATACCTGTAGGTGGTTGAGTAATTTAAAGAACATTTGTCAGGTCTACTTTCAAGTACTTTGCCTGGACAATTCTATCTTTATTTGGAGTTTTTAAAATGCAATATTTCTACCCAATATGATTAGAAATTTCCACATAAGATATCTTCATCTAACTAAAGAAGGATATCTTCATCTAACTAAAGAATGATCTTAAATATAAGTGGGGATATAACATTAGGATGTCTGAGAATAAATTTTTGGTCAGAAAATAAAAATAAATTTAGGTTATAATCATTTCCATTTTTTACAATTATGGAAGTCATTCACACACAGACATAAAAAGCAAATACATCAACAGTGTATTAGAAAAAATGCATTAATAATATATTAATGCCAAATTATTCATCTCAGGGAAACTTAAAGTGCCTACCTCTATAAACTTAGAAAAATGGTCCATATTCTGTAAAGGGAGAGTTGAGTAGAAAAAAAAAACACAACTTTCCTTGTTAAGTCAATCTGTATCCATATTAAGTTTACTTTATCTGTATTATAATTAAAACACTTAAATTGGGATTTTTATAAAATTTTCTATTCAGTCACAAGTACAGAGGATAAATGATTTTTAAATATTTCCATATTAGTTCATTCAAAAAGTATTATAAAATGAAACAATTTAAATAATTTTTAATTAATCAAGAAAAGTAAGGTGATAACTAATATTTTTAATATGTTGATAAAGATGGAGACATATTCCTAGATGATCCCCAAATGGAATTCACTTTTCATCAAAATGTTCAGAATTGCATAAGCAGAAAAGTCTATCTTTCCTTTATGAGATGCAGTTTTTAAGTTAAAAATATTTATTTTAAAATACCATTTGAAACGTAAGTTGGCCCTTATTCTTTGGAGAAGGTTTAACATTAATACAGATAATTTTTCTAATTGAAAGACACCCAGCTGAGATGTCAATAAAGCTCTCTGGTTTTACAGAACTGAATTACCATGTAAAAAAGAAAAACCTCTATTTTTTTCCAAAGTGAATTATTTAATAAATAGTTTTCATGATAAAAAGTTCAATTTTGAGCTAGAGATACATATTTGACACTTGGTAGTATAATTCTAAGAGAATTAGAGAAAAACACAGATTTGAAAATTTTCTCCTGACCTAAACAGCTTTATGACAAGTCAAATGAAATGTTCCATGAAGATAAATATGTCATGGATAAATGATGGAAAATAAACACTATTTCAATATCACTTCTTATTTTATTCCACTGTCACTTCCCCCCTCTCTGTAATAATTACCTATGCACAAACTCTAGATGGCAATATTGCACTTACTGTACTTTTGAGAAAATTGTCACAGTCGATCTCCACATATCCTCTTTATCAACATTTTATGTGCCATGGATCTATAGCCTCTTATTATAAGTGTAATGAAGCAGAAGTTATTGAAGCATTTTATTGATTGCTCAGATCACAAGTTTACTGCCATACTGAATTGGCACCTTACTCACTGAAGCAAACTGCTGACACCTTTTTTAAAAAGTGACAACTACATCTATTTCATGACCAGAAATCCATTTTCATCTCTATCAAGACAAGAATGCAATTTTCACTTCATTTAACTGATGTTAGGCCTGCTCAAAGCATGACACTTAGAAAGAGACACAAGTTTAAGGTTCTTAAAATACTTCAAGTAACTAGAATGCAGCTTGGTTTCAGGAAAAAAAAAATCAACAATCACTCAAATCTACAAACAACCTAATATTCTAAAAAAAATTACTTACCAGAACCTTCAGAAGTAGTTTTCATCTCGAAATGACTATCACACTATTTTCATGTTTTTAATAGTATATTATGTTTATATATTATAGATTTTGTTCCAAGGTTTCAAAGGATAATTAGGAAGTTTGTTAAAAACTGAAATATTTTAAGTGTTGTCACAGAAAGGCTAAGTCAAAGAAACAGCTCAATTTTTAAAGTATATACAGAAAATGAAATAGAGATAGTTATTCATTCAATGATGTAGAACCAATAAATTATTTTAATTGACACAGGATCTGAAAAGACAAACTTCAAGCACTTCTTTTTTGAAAAATTAAAATACTAAGATTCCTTTTAAAATACTTTATGCAATAAACAAATTTTGTCAATAATAAATGTAATTCAAGCATATTTTGAGATGAATCAATTCTGGATAGAATTATATTATACTATTGTTTGATACCTAATTACCAAACTTATTGAAAGTGTGGATAAAGTGAGCCAACATTAACTTACACAATTTTTTAAACAAAATCTAAGTGCTTTGGTAGAGCTTAGTTTTAGTATGTTAACAAAATACATTTCAATTTTAAACTGCAAAAACAATATATACTCAAGCTAGATGGTTATTTCCTCATCAAATAATATGCCCACAAAATAAATCTGCAATATTGTTACAATTTAAAAAGTAAAACCTAATTTTTGAAATAGAAATTCAGTACCTGAGATTGCTAAACACAATATGCCAAATATAGAACTTTTACATATAACATATATAACAGCATCCAAAAAAGTTAACTTGCTTAAATTAATAAACAAAAGAGACTACATACATGCAAAAAAATTTAAATTTAAATCACTCGGGCCAAAAATTATATAAACCTCAACAAACTTTATTAAGTAATGATTTACTACAAATAGCTCAAATACACATTTCAAAATTAAAATTACAGAAATAAAACATTTTCCCACAACTTCAGACATAAATAGAAATTGCAGTGTTTTTCAATACACTACCAAAGTTTAGAAAATACCCCAAGAATTTAAGAAATATTGGAGAATACTTTGGTTTATTTATTTTGCTTTAAGTAATCAAATCAGCTAAAATTTAATATCAAACAATCATTTTATTCCGAAGTGCTAAAAACTAGGAGTAGAATTAAAAATTCCTTAAGATTTCTTAAATTCACAGATTCACATTTTTTCATGGCTTAATGAATTCAGGGGCTATGACTCTTCCTAATTAAGATGGTGCTTACCATGATATAATAGATACTCATTTCCCTTTTTTCTCTCTGAATTTCAAAAATAACTATGCAATCTATAAGAACTGTTAGGCCATACTGTGAACAGCTTTAAATGATTAAAACTGAAAGTTTATGAGTGCTTTCAAAAATTGTATTTAAAAAAAAAAAAGTACTATGCATTCTTATGTAAAAGTCTCCAGGAATTTTGTTGGTTGGCGGGGAAATTCAAACTTGGGAAGACATTTTCAGAAATGAGTGTTTCTCAAAAATCACATTTGTACTTAACACTGCCCATCAGCCATTCTGAGTCATTACTTGTATAGCTGCCTGGCACAGCTCCATGCACGTTTATGCATCTTTACAGTGTTTCTCAACAGACTGCCATATTTTGTTTACTGACAGCAACTAAAAGCTCTATGTGGGATGATAAATAAAGAACATCATGTTTAAAAATCACTAATATCATTTTAAAAGGTAGTGCAGCCTTGTGTTTTGGCCTCTCCTTAGCTGTGTTAGGCCTATGAATGACAGCTTCCCTGCTTGAAGCACACAGAAAGCACAGCCTTCCTCATTCACTGACAGGACTGTGGCCTTTTCACACGTTCCTTCCACAGCAGTGTTTGTCCCCAAACACTAGAACTCGACACAATGGCATTCCTACTTCAACACCCCCACCAACAGCACCACTACATAACAAGAATGCTAATGAGATGGAACGGCCCTGTCGCTGAAAGTGTTAACTACATTTCATAGGAATGCGTTTATGCAATTGCAAAGATTACCAATTAAATAGATTCTGCTTAGCTCCAAGCAATTTCCAAGATGCTTCCACTTTTAAGGAAATAAATGTGATAAATGTATGTCTAAGTGACTTTGTGCTGTTCTAAATAAAATATCTCATTTTAATACACACGAATCAGTATATATTTAAGACCACCCTAATGTAGTGTGCTTAAATCAGTTGCATGCTATAACAGCCAAGCTAAAGTTAAAAATTGAAAAATGAGTAAGTTTGTAAACATAAAACCAGTAGCCCTGACTTTTCTTTTAAAGCTATATTATCGCAATTTATTTAAAATAAATTTCCTTTGGGAATGACAAAATTTAAAGCTTATATTTCGACAGACATCAAGATAATATTGTTGTTTTTATATGTGGTCTCAAAAGTGAAATAAATTGAAATAATATCAAGAATAATCTAATCATACGATTTATAAACTTTAATTTGTTAAGGAAATAGGAATCATCATCTACCTCCATTTCACCTATCTAAAGATTCTTTAAAACAATCTTATATAAAACTAAATAGAAAAGGCTATACCAAAGGTCAAATGAAGTAAGTGTAGTTGAAACAAAGTTCATTAATTCTTAAGAAGGATATTTGCTAGGAAATCCCACTCACAAATAAAGATATTGTCAGGCTTAACACCTAAGCACTGATGGTCTGTTAAGGGTATGACTACAGGGACTTCTCTAAACATTCAAATAATTTTAAATTAAGTCTTAATATAACACTACAAAAGAAGAAAACCTCAAGCATACATAAAATAGAGCACATCTAAAGCAACAGAAATTTACATAAAAATACATAATGAGCAAACTTCTGCTTATTTTTCTTCATTTTTATATTTCCAAATAAAACTTAAGTATCATATTAAAACTGCTGAATGTAAAGCTATGAATTATTACAACTTAGTGGAAGAAAAAAGCTTTAGGAGAAATGGCAAAGAGCATAGGTTTCAAAATATTCTTAAATTTCATATAATGTTGAAATCTTTACAGACTGCCCAAACAGACAATCACAGAGACACTAAAATGTTAAATTTTGTTCATAATTTAATATTTAATAAAATATATTTTTCATCAATTTTGAGTCATAAAGAATTTTTTAATGAAAGCAGTAAGTAATTCTGAAAGTATTTTTTTCTTACAATGCACAGAGCTCTTTTAAATCTAGTATAGCAATTTATACTTCTTTAAATTTTACATGTTTAAGACAGTGGAAGAAAAACATGCCATTATTTCTGGGATGTTTCTTATTTCTAACATCCTTACTTGAAATAAAACTTAGAAAATGTTTAAGCTTGTCTTTAGATTTTATTTAAACAGTGCTTTTCCTGAATTGGAGAATTGTCTCATTATTTCTTCTAACATTAAATAATTTTAAATTTCAATAAGTGGAATCAAACCACATTAATTCCAAAAAATTATTGTAATGCAATTAATCATGATCCATTTTATAATATCATGATATCTTAAAACTTAAATAATATTTCAACTACAATAATTTAATCTAAATGCAATAAAATATTTTATACTAGTTTCTATATATAATGGCTTAATAAAGAACATTCGTTTGGATTTTTCTTTCTTTCATTGTATTATTATGAATAGTCTTATCTATGATAATTATAATCCTGTTTCTGGATTTGCTGAATATAACGAGACAAACCAAACACATTTTGCGAAGTTTTCTTGGGAAGATGTTTTTTGCTAGTTCTGGATACCTTAGTACAACACTTTATTCCAAAGTCAATACAAGTTGTTCTTTTCCAAACTCGACAGCAGGAGGTGCTGTGTGAACACTAAGACTGATAGCCCATTCCCACCTCCCCTTCCTCTCTGCAAGCAGAGAATAATATAGCATGATGCTTTCAAAATATTCATTTTTCAGCAGTCTGTGGTCTCGGATAATGAGCCCAGTTCTAAACTGGAACCTCCCAGTTCAAAATATAAAACCTAGTCCTCATTTAGCTTGGTAAAAACATGTGCTTCGATTCTTAAAACCAAGTACAAAGAGGATTTTTTAAATGTGGCAATTCCATTTTTATGTTATAAATGGCATCAGTTATTCTGCTTTACAAATGTGAATCCTACTTTAAGATAAATCAAAAGTCCCTATACATGATTATAAAAATACCAGCCTTTACCCACACACATACAAACATGAAATAAATACACAGGAATTAAAGGACAAAATCCGGTTTAACCTGATTCAAATAAACTAACTCTGTTTCTATACTTTTGACTCCTGAAACAGACAAGTTAAATAAGGATAAATGAAGTAAGCTACTCTTGACATGAAGTTGATTCACGATTTCATTTTTCAGAATGTGATTTGTTGTATTCTAGCCCCCATAAATCTGATTTTATGCTGGAAAAAAATAGAATGCTAAACATTTCAACCTTCAAATGACTTAGGAGCTATTTATTCTCTTATTTAAAGTAATTGTCTATAGAATTTCCATGTAAGAAGCTGCCTTCACTTTGCCCAGTATGCGCTGCAAGAAAAGATGAGACATATGACATCTTATACCAAAAGACAGATACAATTAGCTCCATTATTGTTGGCTTTGAGATTACAGAAACAGCATTTTTGGCTCCCTAACAGGCACTGAGCTCACAAAATACATGTCACAGTTCTTTTATGACACAAAGCCAATCATTGCCTCTATACAACCAAGTATATTTTTAAAACATATAATAAAGAAATTTTTAAAGAGGGATGACTCACCTGTTTATAATATTTTTTTGCAGACTTTAATCGTTGGTACAGGGCCAAAAGAACTCCTTGGATGTACATCTTAGCTCCTGAGGGGCTGAAACCTTCTCCCTTAGAGACCCAAAGTAGTCCTCGCAAAGGTGTGATGGAATTTTGCAGGCATTTTTCAAGCAGAGGAACTATGCAAGAAAAGAAGGGAAAAAAATTCTTTTGACCCAACCCAACCGAAATACACTGCCTGGAACACAGCCCCAATACCAGAGCTAACTCTTAACATCTATTATTTATAACTGACCTGGGTTAAGTCTTAGAGAGGCAATTCCTGCGTTACTAGTGGCCACCATGAAGGATGTATTTATATTGAGACACCCCCCATGCAAGACTCATAAGCTTTGTGAGCACACCTGAATAGTTCTGAAGTGTGCCTAACTAGCTGCACAGAGTGTCATGGTGTGCACTGATTGCCTTATCTTCTCATTTATCACAGATGAGTTGGAACCAACCTTGCTGAAACCTACTTGCATTGTCCTGATAAAACTGTAAGATCCATGTTGTTTCTGTACATAGCTTCTTGTAGAGCACTCTATATACCTAAAACATCGCATCTGGAAATTATTCATAAAATATAATCCACACCTTTATAAACCATCCTATTTCATGATTTTTGTTGCATTCCTTAAGTAACCCATACAACAGCGTGGCAAGACTGTTTAAAAACAGGGGGCAGAATCTTAAACAAGCATTTTATCATACCTTTCTTTTTTCAGTTTCTGGAATATGAAACAGTCAAGGATTTAGGAATGCTATTCCAGCATGCGTTTTGTAAATAGATAAAAGATATTTACTTATGGGTATGTACTGCAACATCCATAAGGAGTTGACAAACATGTTTATACACTTTTTCACACGATTAGTTAATAAAGTCTTTCTAGTGTAAAATAGTCCAATAACATGGCAGCTAGCTAACATTTTTCAAGATTTAATTTTCCTCTGAAAAGCCAGAAATCAAGAAATAAAAATGGCACACTTGGGAATCCAGAAAAAGTAAATGATATTTTTCTTTACTTGGTCATTATTTAAGTATATACATGTGACACAAACTTAAACATGCAAAATAACTATAGGTATTGGCTACCTTATTCTGATACACATTTCTGCTAGAAAAAGGAATTAAATAGATCACCGGCAAAGAAAATAGGTCCGGCAAAGAAAATAGGTCATGCCGTTAGTTATGTTATATGTTGCATATTTTATGCAGAAAGGCCTAGCATAGCAATCTGGAAATTGAATTACAATTAGGTTCAGCTGAGCTGCTGAGAGGCTGAGTTATGCAAATAGCCTTTGCTACTGGTATTCTGCTAAATTTTGCTCTTGGTAAAAAAGTTATGCATTTTATGGCACTAAGTTCCACAACTCTCTACCAAAGCATAATTTAAAGTCTGTCTAATACGTTCAACACTAAGGAGAATGTTGAAAACAGGGTTCAAGATTTTGTTACTAATATAGTATAAAGTTAAGAGGAAATTATGAGCCAATGACTATTGAAACATCTTCTTAGATGTGTGCATAAAATTCACTTATTTAGCTTGAGAAACTAATTCCTGAAATTCATCTATCAACCTCATTTTTATACTGTCTTAGAGTAATTGCTTTTCTAAGTCTTATAACAAACAACTCAAACTTAAAAAAATATAAGATCATAAATATTATAAAAGCAATAAAAATTAAAAGATAAACGAGCTTATATTCAGAATTATAACTCTTCAACCTTTAAAAATGTATAATATAAAGCAACCTTGATTACAATTTTTTCAAAAGAAACCTAGCTTAAGAATCATCAGTGCTTTTAGTTTATTGCTACACATTCATATATTACTATGTGTTAGATTTTAATTCATACACCTTTAATTGGTATACTCATTGAACCTGGCATACTTTTTGAACATTGAAAGGCACTACATAAATAGATATTAAGTTGAAATAAAGTTTAATAAATTGAGCAGTAGGTGATAAGCTTGAATGATTTACACCCTAGAGTTAATCTTGAATTTAAACATGAGAAAATTTTATCAGATTCTCTACCTATGCTTGTCACAAAATAACTTTCAGATTATTTATGTCAGCTCAAGGGATTCCAAAAAAAGCACTTACTAGATCTAACAACAAAAATTCTAAGTTTTTCAAAGTTTATACTCTCCACAAGAATTTTAGAAAAAATACAGCTTAGAAAATAAAATAAAATTATACCACAGCATAAGCAGTGTCAGAATTGCTACTGGATGGAAAACAGCTCCCATGTTCCACATGATTTATGTAATTAGGAATACTATGGAAACCAGAAACAGCAAAGCAAAGAAAGCAGTATTCACAAGCAGGTTTTATAAGGGACTTCAGAATCTGCTCTGAACTTGTTGAATAATCTGTTCAGTATTCCAGAATCTCCCTGCAGGAAGCAGGGTCCTCATTATAACCACCAGAGCACTAATAAAGGTTAGCCTCTGAACTAGGGATTAGAAGGCTCTTTCTTTTTAGAAGCTGCAAACTAGTAACTTTGATGATCTTCTTGAAAAGGAAGACAAAGCACACTCCAAGAACAAACAATGTTTCCACTAACTAGGAAGGTACAGAAAACATAAGAAAATGATACGCCTAAGTACTTAAAAATGATGTATAAATCAGCCTACGTTATACTAAAAAATAATAATATTTATTAAGCAGTTAGAATTAAAGAACTGTCCATTTAAAAAGGAGCCTCGGCCTAAAACATACTTTTAAAATATTATTGAATAATTGATTTTTTAAAAAAGAAGTCGCTCTACTTTTTAACCTCAACCCATAGATTTTAACTGGATGTGAATTAGTTATTTAAGTGTTTTAGTGGATATTCCTAATATTCTATACCAAATCATAGCTCATAAGTGCTCTTAACCAATGGTTTTCTTCTCTTTTATGTAGAGTTCTCTTTTTCCCTTATTATTTTTGTGTCCTTCCAACCATGTGCTTCTCTGTCTTCAAACTACTATGTAGAAATATTCAAACTACTATGTAGAAATATTGACTCATTCAAGAAAGTTATCCTATGGTCTTTTAATATTTGTGTGCGTAACTACACATAAACATTTCTTCTTATGTGAAAGGCCTTTATTACAGGTGTTCTACCTAGTTTCTTCTGTTTGCATGATTGTGGTAAGAACTTCTCTTTTGTGTATTTTCATTAAGCTAACCCTCAACATTTCATATTAAATGGTTTGGAAGTTAATCATCCCTTAAATTTAGCAATTATGCAGACATCAGTCAAATGGAATCATTTCATTGGGATCACTTCCACCCCTGGAAAGGTGAAAAGTTATGTGGATGATTACTTTTCATTCCTTTTGTTTCATCTCAAGTTATGACTATAGGGCAAAATTAAAATTAATCCAATCATTTCAATGAGTTTGGAGCTAAGACTGAGGCTGTTGATAAATCATGTGACCAAAAAAGAGTAACTCCACTGGACAGAGCTGGTAGTGAGCATCATAGGTAAACAGATTATATAACCAAAACTAGTAGCTATATTCATTTCATAATTATCAACCAATACCTTTCTCACTCACGCTGTTTCATTCCTTTTCCATTTCCTCCCCTCTTTCCCCACCTATTAATATATTCTTGTCCTTCAAGGCTCATATCAAATGTTACCACCTCTGGCAAAATATCCTAAATGATTTAGGTAGAATTAATTGCTCCCTCCTCTATGCCTCCCATAGCATTCTCTCTCTCTTTTTTTTTTTCTTATTGATTTGTATTAGTCCATATCTTGTCCCCTCCCACTTTCATCCCCCAGTAAATCCTAAAACCTTTTGGAGTTTGAAGTCACGATATTTTTTAGTTTAGTGAAAGCAGTGCTCAACAAATGTCTACTAGATGAATAAATGGTACTGCAGATATACTGTAGACAGTCTTCTGGGTAAGTTTTAAGAACATAACTACAACTATCCATGATCATTTAGAACCTGTAACTTTCTATAACCTAAAAAAATTTGATCTGAATTTGTTAAATAAACATGAATATACCCGAATTTCAAAGCATATTTAGGATGTGTGCAATTGTTTTTATTTTAATTTTCCTTATATGATTATGAAGACTAAGGAGGAAAATAAATATAAAAAGAAAGCCATAAGATTTGGGAAGGAAGCATTAACTAGACAGGAGAAGGCCAGAGATGGGTATTTTTAAAAAGTCCTTGGAAAACTCTTATGTACTTTATCCTACCTTGTCATAAATCATGCTTCTATAGGAAAAGGCACATAATAAAATTTAAATGACAGAGCAATAATATTAGATTAAGGTCAAAATAACTCTTTTAAATAAAAAAGGTAATTTCTTCTAAGAACCCCAAAAATGAGTTCAAATGTTAAATAAGAAAATAAACTGTTCAGGCTTCAAGAGGATCTTCTATTAAAACTTTCATCACTGATAAGAAGTGTGAACTTACTTGGGATACATAATGGAGGCAGTACATGATAAGGAACCAAAAATCTCTCTAAAGAGAAACCACAAAGCTAATCAAATTTGTCTATCAGATTTAGACTGGAATATTCTGTCATGATCTATACCGAGGGAATATATATCCCTCTCCAAAAGCAACATCCTACATTGAAAGGGCCATGTGCATACTGCATTTCAATCAAATATGGAAAGCTAAAAAGATCAGGATTTTTTGTTAATAGCATTTCAAGAAGCACAGGGAATAATCAAAGGCTTTAATAACTTGCTTACAATAAAAAATTAAGTCACGCCAATTAAATATCCATAACCATAATTTACATAATATTGTAATTTTCACATTTCAGTCAGAGTACATGAGACTATGAAAGAAAAGCACACTGCCCAGAGTATAGTTACCTATAAAGAAACTTCTATATATTCTTTGGCAGCAAGCTGCAGATCCAGCTTCTAAAATACTTGGCTATTGCTAACAAGATATCATTTAGAAATACACCAAGACATTTGGGAATTTCCCACCAATTCAACCTATTCAATTGGCTTTTTTTTTTTTAAATGAAGTTGACCTAAAAAGTCTTCTTTGGTCAAAACAAGGTAAGTTTTTAAAAGATACTAAGATGTGACTGCTTCCCAGTCCAGGAAGTATGACTGCAGGGAGTTTGAGCTAGTGCCAAGGTATGTGTGTATTTTAATGTTCCTTATCCAGCTTTACGAAATAGTTGGAAAGCTCCTGGTCCCACAGCAACCATCAGACACCATTCAAAAGCATGGTCTGCAGGGAAGATTGAATGACGGAGAACACACTGTCTCCTGTGTTGCTTGATTTATATCAGTGTATTTTTATCCAAACAAAACTAAACTAACAGCTGCTGTGTACTTTTGTTTACATGCTATATGTCAAATCTTATTGTCCCTAAGGTACTTATGAGAAAAGATTTAGCAGTGGTTTTCTTAAATACCAATGCCTACCCAAATTTGGATTTTTCCTCCACTGAACAAAATGACAAGCACATGATTGCTATACTTAGAGCAATCTTTCACAGCTGCTTTAGTTTTTCAGTGATCCTATTAAACTGACGGCATATTGCCTGTGGGGTCTACAGTGTTATAATACTGCTGTAAGAGACATTGATTTGTACGACAGGATCAAACAGAATAGTGATGCATTGCAGGAAGAATTTCATAGGTCATACTGTTTTTACCTGAGTAAAATTTAATTTGGACATTATGACCTTTATAGGACACCTGGTTATTTTAATTGCTGATGTGTGGATGAATGTTGACATTAAGGCTTAGGAGGTATGAAATCTTAGAAAGTCCTCTCCATTTTGAAAATGCAGCCTGAGTCATGTTTTTTTTCTTAAACTGAACGAAGTAGCTGTGCATTAAATATGCTGGCACATCTTCTGCTTGAGCAAGTGGACCGAAATGGTGTGAATTGTTAATGCCTTGCTGCTTTGGTTCACGGCTTGTGATTGATCATTTGTAACTATATCTACTCCTTGTTCCATGAAATCAAGTATGGAGTAATGGGTTCATCAGATTTGGGGGTTAAATTGAGAGTGAAGAGGTACTGTGTGTGGAAATAAGAGTTGCCATGTTCAGGGCTGGCCTTGTAACAGCATGGAATCTAAAGGCGATATTCAAAACCACTTCACTCATCATACGCTTACTGATTCTGAATAGGGCCCATTTGCAGGGGACATTTGGTAGTTTTCCAATACGCTTTATGCCTCTTTCTACTTCCACCACCATGCACATCTTTTTTTCATACATCCCCAGTAGCACATTGGTAGAACAGGTCAGCATACACAATTCATTTATTTAAATGACTTGATTTATACAAGTAGAAATAAGCTGGGATTCTATTGTCTGATCTTTCTTTCCCCTTCAACAAAAATAATAGTGTGTGTGTGTCTTTGAAAATACAAGGATTTTGTGAACTCAATTTCTTGGACTTCTAAAATATTTGATATTTAGTAGTAATGTAAAATAATTGGTTTGGCATACATGCAATTTAAGATTACTTAAAGAAATACTGAGAATTAACTATACCTAGTCAATTTTTATGTGGCCATGGCCTATACCAATACATAAAATTGAAAATGCATGACATGGTATTGTAAACTTTAAAGTTCCATACAAAAACTTAAAGTATTATCTTAGAGTTAGTTTTAGGGAGGATAATGCACAGAACTCAACAAATAAATCTAACCTAAAATAGAAGTAATGGTCTTTAGAAATGTCATTATATAATTACTTGATCTAATAACTGACATTTTTATTACTTGAGAGTATTTGTATTTATATTACTATCCCAAAAAGTTTAACCCAAATGGTATTAAATTAGGCACAAATTAACTTTTGACTCAGTCAGAAAATAAGTAATAGAAAACAAAGTAAAACATAGGAATAAGATCAATTACACAAAGCACTTACATATGTAAATAACATTCAAAAGCAAGCTAATTATAAAATGTCTTGAAATTCCACTGTTACATTGTACAGTCACATTAATACAAGTCTAAAGATGTAGTTAACCTTTTTGTTCTTTTATTTCCTTCTTTTAAGACTCAAAGTAGGAATAATAATAATACCCAGAACAAACATACCTAATTCAGAGACTTAAAAGTCAGCTAATGTGAGTAAAACAGTTTGGTACCCTTGAATGTAAATACTAAGTCAACATATTACTTACATGTTAATGATTTATTTAAGATGCAAATAGATATGTCAAGAGAGATTTATACTTTAAATGTGACAGACTAAAAAAAGCCCTAATCGTTTCAGCAATAAAAATGGAGGATTCCCTTTGACATTTATTTCTCCATGTTTGTTTCACAAAGACAGAATCTTCTATAATTAGTGTTTTTACATATTTTTGTCTACGATTTCTTCTCTCTTCTAAAAACTCTTAGGAGAAAGATAATCTCTGCTGAGTTGTGTTCTTTTACATAACTGTTAAATGCTGAGAGCTATGTAAGACATTGTTTTATAACAGGTAGTAGCAATTAGGCTGTTTGTTTTCATTGGCAATTATTACAATATATTTCATAATAAACTTCTGGGATCATGGACAAGTCATTAGGGTCAGAATAGGATTTTTGGCTTTAGAGTTCTAAGGCTGAAAAATAAGAGACATAAAAACCAGAAGACAGAAAGACAAACTTAAGGATTTTCTAAAAGCAAGGATTTGGTTTAAAAATTACATGAATGACTAAAACAAGTGTACCCCAACAAAAACTAGGAGTGATGATTATATCTTCATGAATATAAAAGAGGGCTTATGTTTTAAAGATTTCAACAGGGAATTTCTGAAAATATTAAAGAGTCTACAAATAAATTAGACTACTTTGTGAATGTTCATATTGCACAGTTCTGCCTTCACATATTTAATAAAAGATGACAGTGATCCAATTATATAATGGGAGATCTCCAACTGCCATTAAAACACTTTTAAAACTCAAGCCTTAGCAAAATTCTTGATAACCTCTGTAGATCAATAGTAAAAATATAAATTAGTGGTTACTTAACCACATTCTGTTTTTGACATAAGCAACAAGGGTAGATGAAGTCCTATGCCAGGAAGTCACTAGAAGACCCTGAGGACCATGTCTAAGAAACCCTGGAACCAAGGAAAAGTCAAAGAGACTGCAAGTCCAAGGAATGAAGACTTCCTGAGCAGCATCTTTCCGACACAACAGGCTCTTAACTGGCTGCCTTTGTGTATACCAAGTCTTGCCCTAGAGAGATTTAAGGACTGATTAATTATTGCCAGCACTTAGCACCCTTCTTCAGCAAGAGACCTAAATTGTTACATTTCATAAAATTTGAAAAGTAAAGGTAAATGCTAAGGAACTCAATGATTGAAGAGAGGCAAATACACTTAAATTTAAAGAAGAAACTTTATCCATAAGCCTAATCTTAATTCCCTAAAAAGTTGTAGAACAGATTATAAAACAGTTTGTGAACACTCAGGAAAACATACAGTAATCATTAGGACCCAACATGGGATCACTGACTACTAAACAAATATTTAATGAACAGAGAGAGAGATTCTTGCATGGAGAGAGATTCAAGCTCCCTACATGGAGCTTGAGATTTCCTACACCAACATATAAACAATATTTCTTCCAGTGGGAACTAGGTCACAATACACTGTGGCTACCATCTATTGTCTTTAAGAAAGGTACTGCCAAATCTGTATGCCCCTTCCCAGATAAATGGGTGTATCTGTAGGAGACAAAGTAGGAGAACATGTAATGTTTACAAACCTCCTATTTAAGTCCTCTATTTAGAATTCATGATTGCTTGCTTTTAAATGATTCTATTTAAAAGTCAAAGAGAATTATATTACTTAGTATCCAAAACAAGGCAAAAAAAAATTATGAGTGGATGCTGCCTTGGCTCACAATTTCTTTCCTGAAGAAAGTTATGAAAGGAATCAGAGTGAATGAATACACACACACACACACACACACACACACACATATACATATATATGTATATATATATATATCCCTGCCTGGGGCTTGACTTTAGGCTACAGTTTATATCATTTTGAGTCACCCCCAACCCCCCTAAAACACCCTAAACCCCTTAAAGAATAGATTTCCGTTAGATATAATTTTCCATTAGCAATGCTGTTCCTGGAGCCTAGACAGTCTGAACTATTGCAGAATTCCACATTTGGCAGAACAGGAGCAGTGCTAGATGTACAAGGATAGTACTAGGCATTTTTAGAGCACCCAAGAAGGAGGAGCATTTTGACTAGACCTAGACCCTCTCTCATTGCCTGAATTTTCCACTTATGTTAGGCAGCATCCCTAATATTTTTTTTTTTTTTTGAGACGGAGTCTCGCTCTGTTGCCAGGCTGGAGTGCAGTGGCGTGATCTCGGTTCACTGCAACCACCACCTCCTGGGTTCAAGCGATTCTCCTGCCTCAGCCTCCCAAGTAGCTGGGATTACAGGTGCGTGTCACCATGCCCTGCTAATTTTTGTATTTTTAGCAGACATGGGGTTTCACCATGTTGGCCAGGATGGTCTCAATCTCTTGACCTTGTGATCCATCCACCTCAGCCTCCCAAAGTGCTGGGATTATAGGTGTGAGCCACCATGCCCAGCCCCCTAATTTTTATACTATTTTACAATATCTACTCTGTTATTTAGCCCTATGCTGAACATGGGAATACAGAGAAGTTTACAAAATCTTCACCTTCATGTAGTTTACACTCTAGATGAAAGACAGACATTAAACAAATAACTGCCAAGTCGTTTTATTAATTGCAGTTGTGATAATTACTATACACAGGGTGCTATGAATGTAACAGGGATACCCATCTATAATGCCTACTTTTATGTGCCAACTTGATGGGATCACAGGGTATCCAGACATTTGGCTGAACATTATTCTGAGTGTGTCTGTGAGGATGTTTAAGCATTTGGATAGGATAAATATTTGAATCAGTAGACTAAGTAAAGCAGATTGGCCTCTCTAATGTTGGTGGGCCTCATTCAATCAAATGAGGGCCCGAATAGAACAAAAAGGTTGAGTAACTTGGACTGTAACTAACTATGCATAGATTCTATTGGATCTCCAGCTTGCCAACTATAGAGCTTGAGTCTTCTCAGCTTCCATAATCACGTGAACCAATTCCTTAAAACAAATTAAGAGAGAGACAGAGAAACAGAGAGAGAGAGAGAGAGAGACACTATAAATAGATTCTGTTTCTATGGATAACCCTAAGAAATACACCACCCTAGATGAGATAGGGAAGGGGAATAGGAGCAAGAGAGAGTCAGGAAAGTTTCTCAGAAGTAATATTTAAATAAAGACCTTAACATAAGTAGGCAATAGCCTGCCAAGAGGATAGGGTGAGAGAGAATCCAAGATAAGGAAACATGTGATAAGGTACTGGGGCATGAAGGAGAGTGTTTGAGAAACAGAAACAAAGTGATTTGAGTGCAGAGTGGAAGGAGCCAGTAATACTAAGTAAAGATAGAGAAGTTGGGAATGAAGAAACCAAATCATGAAGGCCATTCAGGCCATGATACAATTAAAGTATTGGTTCAGTATGCAAGCTATGAAAGAATGAAATCGTTTTTAAAATAGTGTTAATAGAATGATAAAATTAAAAGACTTGTGTCTAAGTTAGAGATAAGTGAGCTTGCAGACTCCACTAAATAAACAACCATATTCTTGGAGGATTAATATAATCTAAAGCAGGACTATTAGCATACTGTAAATCTCTGCCCTAATCACAGCCTAGTCAACATTTTTATAATAACTTGGACAAGGTAAAGTTGGAATGCTTACTAAATTTAAATTCCCGGGTGACAGATTAAATATCTGAAAGATCTGGACAGGCTAAACTATTAAATAAAAATCTTAGAGGTAGAAGTTTAGTAGGAATTCATATGTAAAGATCTGTTCTCACATCTAAATAACTAGCACTACAAATACAAGATAAGAAAGAAGTAGCTTAAAAGCAAATTGTGAAAATAAATTTGGGGGCTTTCATTGGCTGCAAGTTCAATATAGATTAATTATATGATGTGTCTAATAGGAATAATAATGCAATTTTAGGTAACATACTGACCTGGAAAAAAAGAGAGGGTAGGGCTGTTTTACTCATCATTGATTGACCTGGAAAACTGTGTACAATTTAGGGCCCCACAAAGAGGAATACTGAAATAACTAGACAGAACAGAGAAGAGTGAGCAGGATGATGAGAAGCCAGATAAATAGTTGAAGAGGCTAGGGATATTTAACCTCGAAACACTTAAATGATACATATTCAAATATATGAAAGGCAATCACAGACTAGGAATTAATTTCAGGACCAATGATAAATATTTAAAAGAATAGATTTCTGTTAGATATAAAACAGATTTTTTAGAGAAAGTATAGCTGTCAGAAATGGAACAAGCAGTGACGGGATGGACACTTGTTGCAGACAATTTAGAGGAGATTCATGAACAAAGTGAGATTTTGGTGATCACCAAAGGCCCTTCTGATGCTGAGATCAAAAGTAAATCAATCAACAACACTGTCCTGAAGCAGATACTGAAAAAAAATAGTCATTATCATTTGTCTTATACTACATTGAGTATCAAATATGAGAATCTTCTAGCTTTTAAAGTTCTATAGAATGTAGCAAAACACTACTCAGAGTGGTCAGTGAATCATTAAGCATGAGAACTACCAACAAAAAGCAGTTAATAGTGAGTAATTCATTGCAAATGTAATTCAACAAAGAAATTTTTGGAATTCTAATTAATTCATTCACTTAAAAGTATTTTCATCTCTCACTATGTTTTAGGCACTATAACATAGACTATTCTTACTAATTATTTATTTGAATATTAATATTTTTGAGGACCTATGATATGCCCAGTTCCATCGTAGATATTAGGAGAGTTTTGGAGATTTTTTTTTTTTTTTTTTGAGATGGAGTCTTGCTCTGTCACCCAGGCTGGAGTGCAGTGGCACGATCTCGGCTCACTGCAAGCCCTGCCTTGGAGATTTTTTTAAAAGTAAAAGACAAAAAGTTATCTTTAGTTAAAGAAATAAGAATGATACACAAAACAGAAATACTGTATAAACAATTTTATGGTTTATGATACAGAAAAAAACAAAAGAGGTTATGAAAAGAAGGTATTAGTAAACCAAATAGATAAAGTAGGATTTAAATAATATTTTAAAACTTTGCAGGCTGACCTGCCTTGTAGAAGACTCAGAGAGCCCACCTAAGCCATGCCTGAATTCCTGACCCACAAAAATTGAGAAATAGTATGTGCTTTTTTCTTTAAGCTGCTAAATTTTGGGATAATTTGTCAGGCAGCAACATATAACTAATACCAATTTTAGAAAAGAGATAATACAGTGTATTCCATTATTATTGAAAGTATTTGTTGCCCCTCCCTGAAGGAAAAGTACACTTCCCACCTTATTCATGTCAGGTTTAGCTGTGTCACTTGCAATGCTCTTCCCCGTGGAAGGGCCAGACATCCTCACACTGTTGAATTAAGAAGATGGCATGTGACTTGCTTTGACATATGCAAGTGTAGCTGCAGTCAACCCACACCAACATGTAGCATGAGTGAAAAATAATACATTTCTATAAGCCACTGAAAGTTATAGGGCAAAATAATACACTGAAAGTTGTGGAGTCATTTGTTACCATAAAATAATATATCCTAACTGACACAACTCACTGAACTTTGAATAGATGGAGAATTGGAAGATTATTCCAAGTGAGCAGAAAATAGCATAAAGAAGGGTAAGGAAGCTGGGCATCCCATGTGTCACTGAATGCTCTGGAACATTAAAGAGACTGATCTAGCTACAACTAAAGGTCCATGTTGGGTACTTGTGAGTTGTGGGTGATTAAGTCGGATGACTGAGCAAGATCACATAGTGAAGTTTCTTTAATGTGAAAATCGAGAATGTGCAGATTGTCATGAAATGTAACATTTTGAACAACAAAAAAATTGAGGGATATTTAGGGAGATTACTCTGACAATACAAAGGATTAAGATTTAGGAATAGAATTTAGCTGTCTAAATAGTGAATAACAATTATGTGATAACATTTAAGAAGTACAAATAGCTTACTATATTTGGTACATATTGCCACAGTAATATTGCACAACAAACCACCACAAAACTCAGTGGCATAAAACAATAAGCATTCACTTAGCTCATGAGTCTGCAAGTTAACAGGGTGGTTCTGCTGGTCTTGCCTGGGCTTGCTCACATGTCTTGGAATCAGCTGGCTGTCAGCTGAGCTAGGGTGACCTTGGCTGGAACAAGTGGGGCAAATTGGTTCTGCTCCATTTGTCTTTTTTCTAAATAATATATGGAGGTGAAATTCACATAACATAAAATCAACCATTTTAAAGTGAAGAGCTCAGTGGCATTTAGTAGATTCAAAATGTGCAACCACCACCTCTATATAGTTCCAAAATATTTCCATCATTCCAAAGTAAAACCACTTATACATACATTAAGCAGAGTCTCCTTTTCCCTCAGGCCATGACAAACACCAATCTGCATTCTGTCTCTGTGGATTTATTCGCTCTGGATGTTTCAAATAAATGGAATCATATAATATGTTACCTTTTATGTCTGGCTTCTTTCACTGAGCATAATGTGTTCAAGATTCACCCATACTGTAGCATTATCAGCATTTCATTCCTTTTCATAGCTGAATAACATTCCATTGTATGTATATACTACCATTTGTTCCTACAGTTGCAGGACATTTGGCTTCATGAACATTCATGAACATTTGGCTTTTGGCTATTACGTATAGTGTTGCTATAAACATGCATGTACATATACTTGTTTGAGTACCTGTTTTTAATTTTTTTTGCCTAAATATCTAGGAGTGGAATTGCAGGGCCATGTGGTAATTCTGTGTTTTTCTCTTGGAAGACTCATCAAATTGTTTTCCAAAGTGGCTGCACCATTATCCATTTCCACAAGCAATGTGTGAGGGTTCCTTCCACTTTCTTTACATCCTCAACAACACTTGTTATTCTCTGTGTGTGTGTGTGAGTATGTGTGTGTGAGTTTTATTATAGCCATCCCAGTATGTGTGAAGTAGTACTTCATTGTAATTTTTGACTTGCATTTCCCTAATGATTAAGGATGTTGAGTGTCTTTTCATGTGCTTGTTGCCATTTGTATAACTTCTTTGGGAAAACGTTGATTCAAGTCCTTTGCCCATTTTTTAATTGAATTGTTTGTATTTTGTTGTTGAGCATGAGTTCCTTATATATTCCAGGTTTTAAACCCTTTTCAGATAGATAATTTGCAAATATTTTTTCCATTCTATGGTTTGTCTTTTCACTTTCTTGATAATGTCCTTTGGTGCACAAAAATTCCAAATTTAATGAAGTCCAATTTAGCTATTTTTTTCTTTTCTTTGCTCATACTTTTGATATCATTTCTAAAAACTGATTGCCAGATCCACAGTCGTGAAAATGTGAACCTATGTTTATTTCTGAGTTTTATGGTTTTTGCCCTTTTATTTAGATTGCTGATCCATATTGAGTTAATTCATGTTTATGATGTGAAGTATGGGTCCAACTTCAGTCTTTTGCATGTGGATATCCAGTTCTACCAGCACCATTGATTGAAGACACTATTCTTTTCCCAGTGAATGGTCTTGACACCTTTGTCAAAAGTCAATTGGCCACAGATGTATTGGTTTATTTCTGGACTCTGAATTCTATTCCATTGATCTATATGCCTATCCTTATGCCAGTACCACACTCTTTGAATTACTGTAGTTTTACTTGTAGTAAGTTTTGAAATTGGGAAGTGTGAGTTCACTGCAAGTAGTTTGCAAGGTTAAGAGTACAGTCCAATCCTCCACAAGACTGTCTTTACTTAAGACAACAGCCACATGTTTGGCGGGTCCCCATGCCACTCTTACTTCTGACCAGCTGGCTACAAATTCTGGGATTTATACTACTCCTTCAGGTTAAATAATTTCTAGATGTCTCACAAAACTCAGGAAAGTGCTATACTTATGGGGTCAAATTGGTCTAAAACCTTGAGAAATACAGAAGTGCTGTTGGAGAGCAAATAACAAAAAGTCTGAGACTTATGAAGCAGCTTTCACTGAGTGGCGTCATGTTTTGATGGTGCTTTTACATGCAAGGGCTATGTAGGGCTTTAAGATTTGTTTGTTTGCCTTTAACTTCAGCGGTGTCTAGCTGCCTATATTGGGTCATGTAGTTGAATATACAGCTTTGTAGTTGTATTTTTACAAATGGGCCTGTATATAGAGAATAGGGAAATTGACCTTAAATTTTATAAAATTATTTGCTTATTATAATAAGCAAAGACTACACAGAATTTGAGCTTGATGGGGCAAAGCTACTAAATGCAGCTGGGATTATCTTCCAATAGTCTTGATGTTCAGAAAATGCTGGGATTGCATATGGCATTAGTATACTGAGGTGGGCTGTGGAGGGCTTAGCTCTACTAGCTGATCATGCCTTCCTTACTGTGTAGGCTGCTACTGCTTACTTAACCAAGCTGTGAACTTCACCTGAAACTTCAGGCAAGTCTCAGATTGGGATTACATTATTTTAGGTGTTGCAAGGTGGAACAATATTTGCTGCTTTTCTGTATCTTGAAGGTAAATCTGTAGGCCAGCGCTTTCAAGGATAACGGCAACTGAGTTCTACATGCATGATGGTGAGGTTCTGTCTTTAAATTGTTAATACTGGGCCTAGATAGGAAGCATTACATCTGCTGCCTTCAATTCTACTCTTCACTATGTTATATTAAACTGCATTCTGGGCCAAAAAAGAAATGTGGATGAGATAACATTAGATTCATGTGGCTTGTTGATAAACTTTTAAAGTAACCTCTATCAATCAAAGTAGGCTCTACATTTTATCGTATAAATTTTAACCATGGTTCTAAATCTCATAAACCCAAACTATGGCTTCACCTACAGAAAGGTGATAGATTTTTTTTAACAAAAGGAACACTCTATCTTCTTCAGTTAAGATACAGAAACTATTTGAAGAAAGTATTACAAATCGAGGAATCGGATTCCTGAAGGAATCAAGGAGAAAGTAAAGTGGCTTGAAAATATGCTTAATTATTATGATCAGAATAGAACAGTGTATGCATGAAAATAAGATAAAATAAGACAAACTGATTTAACTGGAGGAGATCAGAAATTTCCCTAGAAAAATGGTACGCATCTGACCCAAGCACACATATTTGACAGATAGGAAAACACACACACACACACACACACACACATACACACACACACATACACACACGCTAAAACCTGAGATCCTAAATGCCAGGTGAAGGAGATCCATTCAAGTCTAATTTCTCTTAAAGAAGTTCTTATAAAAGGGTAAAATATTTCATTTGTTACAAAATCAGAAACAGTAACTGGGACCCAGTGAAACCTATTAGAAGAATAAAGATAAGATCTTGGAGAGCAGACTGAGAACAATCCCCTAGAGGAGACAGTATCTCCAATGCTTAGAAGAGTTGGTATTTACATTACAGATAAATTTATAGTAAGAGCAACTGGGGAATCACTTTTGAGGATAGGACAATTATACAAAGAGTGCACATAAAATCTGGACAAATTGGAGAGAAAGATTGGTATAAAATATTACAAAAAAGTGCTGGGTGAACTCTAAAAATAGATGGGCCTGAGATTAAGGAAAGACAAAGACAAGATTAATTACATTACAGCAAATCCAGGCAGAACAATAATTGATCAAAGACTCCAGATCCAAGTTAGATGTTAGACTGTGGGAGAAATACATCCTGGGTAGGATTATTTAATTAACGGAAGTGAAAATAGGTAAGACTGGTTTGAACAAAGGATGCTATTGACAAACTTAGAACTGATTGACTTCATCTCTCTCACTATGAGAGACTCTGCAAGAAAAATATCTAGAGGCATATGTTAGAAAAATATGAGTATGGACCAGAAAGCAAAAGGAAAGTATTAATAAAAGAAAAGAAGAGACTCAATTGTGGCAAACAATGCTAACCCCAAGCCTGTCAGAAAAGGGAACTTTCTGAAAGGAAGAAGTATATAGTAGAAGCAAATCTTAAACATTGCAGAAAAAGAAGTGCCTGACAGAAACATTAACTGAAGAGCAGGAGCATTAAAAAACTGAGGAAAGACCATGTCCTTAGGAGGAAATGGCAGCAGTGTTCGTCCTCACTGGGACCCTTAGCACATAAGCCTCAGAAACACAAATAGCTGCTTCAATTTGGAAACCCGCCAAAAGTTATTCTACAATTGGAACTGATGTGGAGATGAGGGGGAAACTGTGCCCATGAAGTAAGTTTCTTAGGCTTAAATAATTCCATAGACAGAAGCTGTTACAGCAACCACTGTGATTGAAGATGCCACTCCTAAGACAAGATGGATGCTATGCCACCAGACATTGATCACCCTCAGTTGAGCATGGGGTTTAAAAGCACTGACTCAGAAAAAGAAAAGGAAAGAACATTAAGATGTTTGGAATTCTTTAAAAGGGAAAAATGATACCTCAAATAAGTCTTTATGACTGGTGCTACTGCCAACACAAACTGCCAGATGTTGCAAGAATGAAACACTCTCACTCTCGGTTCCCTAAGAGCGCGGTGGCTCACGTCTGAAATCCCAGCACTTTGGGAGGCCAAGGCAGGCAGATCACCTGAGGTCAGGTGTTCAAGACCAACCTGGCCAACATGGTGAAACCCCATCTCTACTAAAAATACAAAAAAATTAGCTGTGCATGGTGGCAGGTGCCTGTAATCCACGCTATTCGGGAGGCTGAGGCAGGAGAATCACCTGAACCCGGGAGGCGGAGGTTGCAGTGAGCCAAGATCACACCACTGCACTCCACCCTGGGCAACAAGAGCGAGACTCCACCTCAAAAAAGAAAAATAATAATAATAACGCCAATAATGATAAAAGCTAATTTTATACTATTGAAACATTATACCTTATATTGTTTACCAAGTGTCAGGCACTTGTTCTAAGGACTTTACATATATTTCACTTAATCTTTGCAATGTTGTTAAGGTAAATACTATAATTCCTATCTTATAGATAAGGAAACTGACTCTCAGAGAAGCTAAATAATCTGTCCAAGGTCACATAGTAAGTGGCATAACTGGAATTTGAATTCTGGCTCTAAAATCAGGGAACTTAACCAACACTTTGTGCAGCCTCTTTGAGACAGAAGACAGTGTGCACTGGTCAATTTTTCCCTCAAGATACTGTAAACTTATGCTGTAACTAATGCCTTAATGGGAGATTGCTTCCCAAGAAGTTAGGTCACAGGTCATAGAGCCTGGTCAACAGCTTGGGCCGTCTGGCATCTTGGAAAGACTGATGATAATATTTTCTCTTCTCTACCTTCCCTCACTTAGTCTCTGTTATGGTCTTTGGCAGCAGTCATGTGGGTCTGAATTATGCCAAACATAGGGTCCTGGAAACATCATTTTGCATGCAGTGGCCACATTTCCTGGGAGTGGCTACTGTTGTGAATGTGCTGGATATGTTGTTGATGTTGTGATAATCATTTTGTTTGCTTGGAAACAAGGCATATGAAAATGTTGGTGTAGACCTAATTCAACTTCTGAGGTCCTAAGGGATGACACCCACTCCAGGAGCCCAGACGGTAGCTGCTGGAGACATTCCAGCTCCAATCAGGCATCCAGAAGCCATCTGGCTGATACTGGGAAGAATAAAAATTAGGACTTTGATTTCTTTGCACTTTAACTTGAAGAGTTTGAAACTTTATTGGTTTTTAACTCAAAAAGGTACAATAATTTGATCTTGAAATTTGCTTCTGTGTGGACTTTAAAATTTTGGATTTTATTTGAAATTTTATTCTTTTAATTTTAATGTCTCCACAAAAGTTGATAATGGGCAAGAGCTAACATTCAAATTCATCTCTATGTTATTGGAATTTTATGATGAAATATCCTGTACTTAATCTAATTTCAGAATCTCCAAGAAATTTATCAGAGAATATACAAATATTTTGGACAGAATTGCTGGGCATAATTTGGGGTGGGAAATGAAATAGGAAGTGAACATTCAGTATGTCCAGAATGACCTTGGAGTCAATTTAATTAATGTAGTATTCTAACTCATTTCAGAACCACTAGGGTAAATTTAACAGTACTCATTATGATCTAGAAGGGTCCACAAAGAACGAGGGTATGATTATTGGAATGGATCCTTCACAGAAGTCCTAACAGACTAAGGATCTCCTCCCTTGAGAGGGAGAGTGACTCCTCTGGTTCACCATCATGTAATAATTAAGCCAAAGAAGTTAAGAGATCAAAAAGTTTGGAAATGTTAGGAGGAATGAGTGTGTTATTTAAAACCTCCCTCGAAATCAGACACTGTCTACATCTGTCTTCCATCTGAAATGCTTGTATAACAGCAAATAGCTGATATATAATTAGTAAATAGAGGAATGATGTCAAAGTGATACAGAAGTTTGGTTAATAAATATATGCTTTGTCCTAAACAAAGGAAGCCAAAAGGGTAGGGGTAGAATTCTATTCCAAAATAGTTGTATATTCTCTGATAAATTTTTTGGAGATTCTGAAATTAGATTAAGTACAGGATTAATATATTTCATCATAAAATTCCAATAACATAGAGATGAATTTGAATGTTAGCTCTTGCCCATTCCTTAAAGGAAGCCCCACTGGCCCAAATCTCCACTTCACTTCCATCTGCATTGTCTCACACTCTATTGTTTTTGTGCAGCTTTAATATCTTCTAAAGCAGCACTCTGAGATGCCTACCCAGGCTGTTTACATTATCTCCTAAGTTAATCATTATTGTTTTAGGTAGTATTGTGGTTTTAAAGGTTAATAGATTTTTGAATGGTTTTCCCAAACCCTAGTTTCCCCATATCCCTGTTATTTTGGTGGGCGTGATTTTGCACAATGTATTGTTTATGCATAGATACATAATCGGCCTTCCATCTTATTGGGTTCCACATCCCTGGACTCAACCAAGTATGAATGAAAAACATTTTTAAAATAATAATAACAATACAGAAATAAAAATAATACAAGTTTAAAAACAATACAGTGTAACAACTATTTATATAACATTTACACAGTATTAGGTATTATAAGTAAGCTAGAGATTAAAGTAAACAGGATGATGTGCATAGGCTATATGCAAATACTACACCATTTTATATAAGGGACCTGAGCAACTGTGGATGTTAGTATGGGGGAGGCCTCCAGTAACCAATCCCCCACGGATACCAAGGAATAACTGTATATGTACCAGCATGTTGACCATCTGTAGGAATATGGCATTTGTACACAGTAGGTGAGTAGGTGTACTCCTTTCTACTGTAGAAAGGATAGATTTATACAAGAACCATAACAAAATAACTTTTTCATACGTAACAATAAAAATGTCTTTATTAAAATCATCTTCTGTGGTAGAGGTTGAATTCAGTAATGACTTCTTCCATGTGGCCTCACATAAATTAAACTCTCTCATTACTGGAGAAAAAAAAAAGCCAGGCTGGTGGATCATGCCTGTAATACCAGCACTTTGGGAGGCCAAGGTAGGAGGATTGCTTGAACACAGAAGTTCAAGACCAGCCTGAGCAACCAACAGAGAGAGACTCCATCTCTACAAAAATATTTTAAAAAGTAGGCACAGTGGCCTGCACCTGTAATCCCAGCTACTGGAGAGGCTGAGGTGGGAGGATTGCTTGAGCTTGGGAGCTCAAGGCTGCAATGAGCTGTGGTTGCACCACTGCACTCCAGCCTGGGCAACAGAGCAAGACCTTGTCTCAGGAAAAAAAAAAAAAAATTGTCTATGGCTTAGAATAAAATCTAAAAATAAGCAATTTGCCAATCCTGTTGGTCTTTTCAAAGGTTTACTTGACAAACTAAAAGTAGTTTAATATTATATCAAATGTGCTTATTTCTCATAGCATAGAAGGAAAACTTAAAAGTATATCTAATTCCAAAAAAGAAGCAATAGGTAGGAGAAAATTTTTATTTTGTGTATCTGTTGCTTTTAGTCCTTGGTACAATTACACTTCTAATCTGTGCTTATAAATAAAAAGTAATTGCTATGATTTTAACATTAGACATTTTTAAAAGATTTTTTCTGATCTGATACAAAGCAAGAAAAAAAAGTCACATATCGAATCAAAAGAGTATCAGCATTTATTTGTTTAAATTAAAAGATAACTTTCACATAAAACTTGACCTTTCCCAAGTTGAAGTTCAGAAAACCATCCAACACAAAAGTTTAGGGATCTCAATCATTTGATGCACAACATCATAGAAACAAAGAAAAAAGAAGTTCAAAAACCTAATGTTAAGTGACTAGGGTGCTACAGACTGGAAGTTCCTCCAACAGGATTAGCTTCTTTAAATATTTTAAGTCCAGTGAACTTGTAATGCTTCCACATGTTAGTGGTTGCACAGGCTAATTTCAGCTGGCATAAGCTTTTATAAGGATGCAAAAACAGAGGGCAAGGCATGCATTAAAATGTGATAATAGCACACTTCTGGGATACGTGAAGCACGAGTCATGAATCCGAATGCCTCTGGCATCCATGAAGTATCACGTCTCAGAGTCAGTGCTTTCCTGTTTTGATAAGTAATTCTGTTATACCATATTTGGGAGGAGAAAAATAAACTTTCTAAATATAAATCTTTCATCTTAACGAAGATCCCTTATAGTTTCAATTCTAGCAGTTCATTCAAATCTGATGTTTTAATTCCAGGTGAACTGGAAATAATTCAAGTCTAGATAGGGTATTAAGAAAATATGTTGTTTATTTTTATTAATGCAAGTTTAAGAGCAATTTCAAAATATTGTTGATCATAAAGAAAATCTTAGCCAGAGTAATGGAAGAGGAGACAAAAATGCAAGAAAGAAAGAAATCAACATTAATAATGACACTCTTATTAACCCCAAAGAACAAAAGGAAGGATTCTTTGTGTTACATGTTTTACAGGTAAATAACCTTACCTAATCCTTCTAGATAATGGGTAGGTATCTACAGGAGATTTGAAATCTTCAGATAAAAACATGTAATAAAATGAAAAATAGTTATGATATCTAATAAAAACATTTTTTAAAAGGCCAAGAAAAACAAATTTACTTTCTGAATACACACATATGTAATCCTTGGCCAAAAAATTTGAGTTAGAAACAATAAGTATCAAACTATCATAGTTATCATTCAGTAAGTATTAATTAAGGATGATAAATCAAGGAAAGAGTCTGCTTTTATATAGTACAAGTGAGAAAATGGGAAACAAATGGAAGTATCTGCTGTAGCAACATCCCAAAATCACTTCAGTTGTCGGAATCACTACCCTTGCAGTTAAAGGCATGTTATTTAATATCTTGGCCCTCCTCAAGCATGGAGTTAAAGTTTGGATGAAGTTATAGGACCATTTCAATAACATATTTAAACTCACAAATGTGGAATTTCTTTTCAGAGGCTAGCAAAACAAAACAGTATCTCTAGAGATATTAGATGGATATCTAATCTCTTTTGACAAAGACAATGAAATTACTTTAAAGTACATTTCATAACTTTTTTCTTGCCTGAAGATGAGCTACTTTTAATAGTATAACAGTGGAACCAACTAAATGTCCAAGAGTAGATAGTTTAATTCATTCATGCCACATTTATGAGTGTCAGCTATGTCCCAGGAACTGTGCTTACTACTGGTATTACAACAAAGATAGTGTCTCTTCTTGCCCTCTTTTATGTTACATTGTGGTAGAAACAGATCATGTAGGAGAGTGATATAGGATTCATTCAAAAATCCAAGTACTATTTATTGAGTGCCTGTTCCCAGGAAGCCTGTAGCCTGGTAGGAAGGGTGCATACATACAAAAAAGTAACAAAGCAATACAATAATTACATCCTGTATGGAAAGTACTAGGAAAACAAATGGAGTTCTGACATAGACGAGACAGTAAAGTGGAAAGAGAGAGGGAGGCAGAAAGAGAGAGAGAGAACAGAGTACAATGGTTAAACGCTGCTACTGGAGCCAGCCTGCCAAGGTTTGCATCCCAACTCCACCACTTGCTAGTTGTGTGATGTTGAGCAAATTACCTAACTTCTCTGTACCTCAGTTACTGCAATAAATAGGAATTACAGTTTCTCTGAGAACTAAATAAGTTAATGTTTGTGATAAGCTTAGAATAGTGCCTGGTCCAGAATAAGTACTACCTAGTAGTAGAGTTGATAAATGCAAGAACCTAGTGAGTGAATTTCTCTATTGTCAAATTAATTCCTACTCTGTCAATTCTGTGACAAGGGATACATACTTTGAGGGACAATGATGTGCCGGAGCCAACTTGTACCAGTTTGCTAAAACCAATTGTTCTCATCTCTTCTCCAAATACTTTATTCAGTGAGTTAAAACCCTTCCCTCTGAACTCTGCATTCAGTAGTAGCTTCAGATTGGCCATGGTATGAGCACCTATACCATGAAGTTGCTAAATGCTACAAATCAGGGACTTTTTTTTTCAGACCAATTGATAACATTTATCAGCATACTGCTGATATACACACTTAGTAGAGAGTAATGGGTTACTGGAGTTCTTCCTAGTGGTTCCAAACTGAACTACATTTAGTTTGGTATGTTTGTTACATTTCATAACTTTTGAATAAGCTCTAGAAGTTGACCAAAACAGTTTTAAAACATCTATCTGATCATACAGTAATGCAATTTCTCATTTTTGTTTTTGGAAAGCTGTATCCTATATAAATTGGCTGTTACGTTATAAAAATGTATTAATTACTTTTATTTAATTATGGTTTACTAAGGTTAAAATACCCATCAATTTTTTAAAAACTCCAAACTTGTGTTGAAATAAAAGATTCCTAAAATCTTAATGTCCTTTCATGATTTTCCTTTGTATAAGAATATTTATCCAAGTTATAATTAAACTATGTTTTATTATATGTTTTTCTTTTAAATGTTTAAAGTAAAAACAAAATATAAATGTCTTTCAAAATATTATCAAATGGTTTACAAAATCTTTGCCACTTACCTTTTGAAATATCTTCAATTTTTCTGCCATACAAATCATAAAAATATCTGGCTGGTAAATTTAGATTCATTCTTATTGTACAAGTATCTAAAACCTGTGCAGGAAAAAAAAATTATAAATAATTTAGTAAACTGGTTAAATTGAATACACATTTAAACTCTTTTCTATACTACACAGCTATTAAAAATTATATTGTAAAATAAAATTTAATGATTTATAAAATGTTCTAATATATGAAATTTAAAAGCAGTTAAAATTGCTACATTGTACTTGCATGTGTGTAAAAAAACACGTAAGTATTAGTAAAAAAGAAAGAAAGAAGATTCAACAAATATTAAATACTGGTTATCTATTATTTAATATCTATTATTTATCTATTATTATCTATTATTTATTATTATCTATTATCTATTAAATATCTATTATTTAATATCTATTATTTAATAAATGGTAGACCTTTAGAACTCTGAGGGATTTTTATCTTAGTCTTGCAACTTTCTGTATGTTCCATTTATTTCACAATGAGAGGATATTACCATTTAAATTAGATTTTAAGTACCTACTTTCCTTAGCTTTTAAATGTTTTCCAAATGTCCTAAAATAAATAATAAAAACAGTCTGATCACAGTTCACCTTGATAACTTATGTTGTTTGGGTACTAAAAACTGAACTTAATAAATCACATTTCAGGTTTTCCATGAATATGAGTCTCAAGGACTTTACCTTTAATGGTTTCTAATATGCACTCTCTTTTAATATTACAATATCATGACCTGTTCTTGTTATTTTACATGCAACCCTTTGAAACCAATGTGGCAATTATCTTTCCAACTTCAAGGAAGACTTAAACATGCTTCAGCTGGAAAAAAAGTTCTACTCACAAGGTGAGGAAAATTAAGGGAACAGAAGGGGTTTGAGGAGTGTCAGGTAACCTGAGGCAGGTTGTTAATAGGTTTTCAGAAGTAACTTCCAAAACATGAAATTCACCATATTCATCTAAAAATATAAAATATATTCCAAATTGAAATTGAAAGTGCTCTGCCATCCATTTTTGACTATTCCCAGCTATAATATTACTTTCCCATAACCAAGAACTACTACTGAAGGACAATGTGAATTATATTAATATGATTATAGTAAACAGAACATCTTTCAACTGCTCAAACCATCTTTCAGTTGCCGATACTACCTGTCTCTTTTTGCCCACTTCTGTCCCTACTTTATTATTGGAGCCCATAATTTAGTCCTAGCTTAACCAATTCATTAGCTTTGTGACAATGTATGTATTTCAATAGCTTAGTGTTTATATAGAGGCAAAGTTGCACTTTCCTTTCAGCCTGTAGAACAGCTTTCAAACATTGTGACTGATTTGGTTTATATAGTTGCTCTATCAAAAGACAGGTTGAATTTTAAAGGCAAATATTTAACTGACAAATTAATTTGACAAATTGGTCTTTCTTGGGCTGTATGTACCAGAGGTTCTCAGCCTTTATTCTACTCTACTCCTATACATAACTAATCATGTCCCCATGGACCACATGCTCCCATGACCATTCAAAGGGTTGCATGTTTCTTGCACACTAGCTGCAATTCAGAGCATTGAGCAATTCAGAGCAATGTATTGCTGCTATTTTTCTCACAATCAAGAATGCATACCTGCTCATTATTAGGAATAATGTTATAGGAATTTTTTTTTTTTTTGAGATGTAGTGTCACTCTGGTCGCCCAGGCTTGAGTGCAGTGGTACGATCTCAGCTCACCGCAACCTCCGTCTCCCGGGTTCAAGTGATTCTCCTGCCTCAGCCTCCCAGGTAGCTGGGATTACAGGCATGCGCCACCACGCCCGGCTAATTTTTTGTATTTTTAGTAGAGACGGGGTTTCTCCATGTTGATCAGGCTGCTCTCGAACTCCCAACCTCAAGTGATCCACCTGCCTCAGCCTCCCAAATTGCTAGGATTAGAGGCGTGAGCCATCACGCCCAGCCAGGAATATTCTTGAGCTTTCTAACTTATGAGGAAAAGATCATTCGCAACATCAATGCTTTACCTAGTTAAATAAAAAAGTACTTGCAAAGAATGTAACAACCCTGGTGATTCTCTAAATAACCCTGGTTATTCTTCCTGCCTTCTTGTTTACTCTTGTGGGTCAATTTCTTCAGTGACTACTGCCCACAAGTTCACCTAGGACCCCCATCCCATGGACTGAAACCTTTACTAAAGATGCTGGGAAAGCAATGTTGAAAATATAAAAAAGTATCAGGAAAATAAACTGGAGTTTGTCTGTGGCTTGAAACAAAAAGAAGAGTGGAACATATTGACTGACATTGGCATGGGATCCATGCTTGTTTTTATTTTAATACTCTAATTAACACAGTTGGTGTCTGACTGGCAAAATTCTCCTGTCACTGGAGTGAAAGTAAAATGGATCACTTTCACCACCACTCTCATTGACAAAAATACTCAAGGGAGATAATTCAGTACAAATTGCTCCTTAGCCAATCATGTCTGAATACTATTAAGCATCTACAGTTGGTCTCATAGACTGTAAGCAAGACATAATCTCCTCTTTACAACCCCACATTACTTATCTTTCCAGTCCTCATGTTCAGTTCTCAATTTCTTAATATTATGAAGTTATTACTGTATTTAAAAGTATAATGATGTCCTTCGGTACAATTTATATTTCCTAGTTATGAGTGAAGGTTCAAATATCTAAGTATCCTCTAAAGTTACAATTTACCAATTAAACTAAGTAAAACTATAATCTACTTGAAGGTAGTCCCATTTACTTCAACCAAAATTTCAGTAATTTAAAAAAATTATTTTAAATATTGCTGCCTTTGAGTCTTAAAAAAATCAGTCCCTCCTTCCCTCCCGCTGTAGGAGTTCACAGTGTCTGCTGTTGCCATCTTTATGTCCATGAGTACCCAATGTTTAGATCCCACTTATAAGTGAGAACATGTGGTATTTGGTTTTCTGTTCCTGCATTAATTTGCTTAGGATAATGGGCGTCCAGCTGCATCCATGTGGCTGCAAAGGACATACTTTCATTCTTTTTTATGGCTGCATAGTATTCCATGGTGCATATGTACCACATTTTCTTTATCCAATCCACTGCTGATGGGCACCTAGCTTGATTCCATATCTTTGCTATTCAGAACAGTGCTGTGATGAACACACGAGTGCATGCGTCATTTTGGCAGAATGATTTTTCTTTTGGATATATATAACCAGTAATGGGATTGCTGGGTCAAATGGTAGTTCTGAGTTCTTTGAGAAAACTCCTTACTGCTTTCCACAGTAGCTGAACTAATTTACATTCTTACCAACAGTGTATAAGCGTTCCTTTTCTCCACAGCCTTGCCAATATCTGTTGTCTTTTTGACTTTTTCATAATAGACATTCTGACTGGTTACAACACTTTCTAACTCAAAGATTCCCCTTTTCATTGAGCTAAAACATCAGTAAAAATGTCTGTGCAAACCAAACCTTTGTGCAAGTTTTAAAAGTTAAATGAGTTTTAAAACTGGCATTAGAAAATCAAACACTAACATTTAATAATGTATGAGCAACTCTGTCATTCCTTCCTACTTGAAGAATGAAAAATCTTTGCAGTGTTTAAGCAATGCCAGCCTTCAGTAATCATTTTCTCGGAGTAAATTATCAGTGGTATGAATTAGTAGCACTATAAGTTTCTGTCAAAAGCCCTGAAATGAAGCTTCTACTTGTAAGGTCATTCTTATAATTTACAATTGAAAAGTACATTATGGTGTCATCTTGCTGTAATATTAAGGTTAATTAAAATAGCATTTCCACTAATCTGTACCTGTTAAGCTTGTTAAAATATTACTTTTACACATTCACATTTTGTTAATTCCTTTTTTTTTTCTTTTTGAGACAGAGTCTTGCTCTGTCACCCAGGCTGGAGTGCAGTGGCATGATCACACCTCATTGCATCCTCAACTTCCCAGGCTCAGGCAATCCTACTAGGTCTTCAGCCTTCCAAGCAGGTGAGACAACAGGTGTACCATATGACACCCAGCTAATTTTTTAATTTTTGTAGAGATGGGGCCTAGCTATGTTGCCCAGGCTGGTCTCAAGACCCCTGGTCTCAACTGATCCTCCTGCCTCAGCCTCCCTAAGTGCTGGGATTACAGACATGAACCACTGCACCTGGCCTGTTAATTCCATGCAGCTCAAGTTTTAGAAACTCTTCTGATACTAAAATTTTAAATCATCATGCTGTAAAACCAGAATCTTCTTGAAAAGCACCTGGGAAAAAATATTCCACAATGTTTTCAGTTTAATCTACTTGTTTACAGATCTGGGAGTCATCTCCACATCCAGACATATCTATTATAGAGTTTGCAGCTCCTGGAATGGCCAGAACCTCTGGGTTGCCACTACTTCAGTTCAGATGAGAGAGTATACTTAGGCCAACATCACCGTAGGTCATATGAACCAGGTTAATAAGCCATCAGACCCAAAAATGTCAGTTCTCCTCAGACAGAGAACCTTGAAACCTTTTAATATGGTTCTATGAGTTAATGCCTGGAAGCATAAGCCCCAACTTACACTTCCCCAACACACTCTCCTCAAAAGATTCTCTACTGTAGGAGTTAGCAAACTACAGTCCAAAGGCCAATCCCAGTCCATAGCCTGTTTCTGTGTGGCCTATAGGCTAAGAATGGCTTGTACATTTTGAATTCCTAAAACAGAAATCAAAAGATGAATCATACTTTGTGATAGATTTAAACATGAAATTCAAATTTAAGTACTGTACATAAAGTTTCTTGTAAAACAGCCACATTTGATCATTTACATATCTTCTATGGCTGCTTTCATGCTATAACAGCAAGGCTGAGATAGTTGCTACAGAGACCTTCTGGCTTGCAAAACCAAAATTATTTTGTTTGCCTTTTATGGAAAAAGTTTGCATCAACATTCACATGAAGCTCTATATTTTTCTGTTCTGTATAAATTAGCCTGAACTCCTTTATTCATTTCTAAAACTCTTCCATTGTGTACTCTGAAAACATCTCCCCTGATCAACAAATTTGACTAGACCCACAACCTCTTTTAAAAGAAACTAGGCTTTCCCCTGAGGTCACTAACTTCTTCAAAGCGCTCTCAAGTGGTGAGAATTTATTCTCTCCTATCACACAATCTCAAGTTTGGAAAGTGGTGTTACAATGCTATTTCAAGATAATTTCTCCCCAACCCTCTTATTGAACAAAAACAAACAAGCGCTGTCCCCAACACCCAGGATCTTGATGTTCAAGCATATCATCTTCTCTAACTCTAGTCATTCTTCCTCAATCTTAGATAACTTTTACTACACATAGCTTGCAAAATCCTAACTCTGGGCGACCTTCACTTTCCACTCTGTGGGCACAATGAGAGGCCTGGTGCTGCTGGACAAAGTCACACAACTGAACATATCAACATTACTATCATTCATGATCACCAACTTCCATAGTCCCTCAGTACTGCCCAGCCACTTCTATTTCATTTCTTTGGTCAAATTTCTCTCCCACTTTCCACAGAGTATTTCCAACCATCTCTAATCTGCTTACCTCTACCTAGCCTTTCCTTCCCTAATTGCCTCTTCATTTTCAGCAGATGACATGATCTCCTATGTCAGAGAGAAATTTGAAGCCTCATCTTACTGCTATCAAAGCTACAAGCCTACTTATTTCTACAGCCATCCACTCTTTTTCCTTCCAGTTATATTACAAGAGTTCCTGCTCCTATCTAAGGCCAATATTCCACTTATCCTTTCAATTATGTATGCTCTCAGCTTTTAAAGCAGTTTGTATTATCCATCATTTCTTCTCTCTCATGTATATTCATCTACTGCTTCTCAACTAGCCTGTTACCACTGATATTGAAACGTAAGTCTTTTCTATCTTGAAAATTAAATCTCCCCATACCTACCTGATATCTCCCTCTAGCTACTCCTCAACTTTACAGCTAAATGTCTTAGATTTGTCCATGCTCTCTTGTTTCTTTTCCTTTCTTCCCATTCATTCTCAGCCTGTTCCAGTTTGGCTTTTTTACCATCACTTTACTGAAATAATTCTCACAATGATTACCAATTACTACTCTATTGACAAATTCAAAGGACATTTTAAAATTCTTACTTGTTTTGAGCATTGTATTAGTCCATTATCATGCTGCTGATAAAGACATACCCAAGACTGGGCAATTTACAAAAGAAAGAGGTTTAGTGGACTTACCATCCCACATGGCTGGAGAGGCCTCACAATAATGGTGGAAGGCAAGGAGGAGCAAGTCACATCTTACATGGATGGCAGCAGGCAGAGAGAGAGCTTCTGCAGGGAAACTTCTCCTTATAAAACGATCAGACCTCAGGCCAGGCATGGTAGCTCATGCCTGTAATCCCAGCATTTTGGGAGGCCAAGGAGGGCAGATCACGAGGTCAGGAGTTTGAGACCAGCCTGGCCAACATGGTTGATTCCCCATCTCTACTAAAAATACAAAAATTAGCTGGGTGTGGTGGCGGGCACCTGTAATCCCAGCTACTCAGGAGGCTGAGGCGGGAGAATCACTTGAACCCAGCAGGCGGAGGCTGCAGTGAGCCGAGATCGTGCC